>NC_000005.10:87382534-87685564 GCF_000001405.40 Homo sapiens | reverse complement strand
GTTCATCCTTGTTTGTTTGGTACTTTCCAGTTTTAGTACTGAAAGTCCCATGTTGCTATGATCTGAATGTTCATATCCCCCCAAATTCATATGTTGAAATCCTCACTGCAATGTGATGATATTAGGAGGTGAGGCCTTTTGGAGTGATTGTATCATCGGGGTGGAGCTCTCATGAAAAGGATTAGTACCCTTATGAAAGAGGCCCCAGAGAGACCCCTCACCCCTTCCACCATGTGAGGTTAGAGTGAGCAGATGGTTGTCTATGAGGAAGAGGGCCCTCACCAGACATCAAATTGCCAGTGCTTTGATTTGAGACTTCCCAACCTCCAGAGCCATGAGAAATAAATGTCTATTGTTTATAAGTTACCCAGTTTATTATATTTTGTTATAGCAACCCTCATGGTCTAAGACACATGTCATGGGCAAAGGGCAAACCCAGATGGTTGATCACCTAGAGAACAATCAACACCTTTCCTGCCATTCCTTCTAACTTCACAAACAGCAAAACACACACAGTCCCATATGGCCAGACCTTAGGTGTCAGCTTTAGGAAACTTCAGGCAGCTTTCCCTGTCTCTACCACATTTTCTGAGAAGTGAGGTTTAAGACTCCAAAGTTCCTTATCTTTCCCAGTTACCTCCAGCTGCACTTCTCTTACCAAGATTAATGATTCTTTAAGCCTACTCTGGTCCCAAACTCTTTTACTAATAAGACGTCAAATCCTGGCCTTTTCCCGATGACCACCTACCATTATCTCACCTCTGCCATACCTTATTCTTGCTGAGCTTTCATGATGTTCTTATCAGCACCTTTGGTCCCTCAACCCTCTCCAGATTCTCCCAACTTGTCAGCCCAGTTCTTGTTTACTGAGATTACCCACATATTAACATTGTTGAGATAAAGCAATTTAGAGTCAGATAGGTTAATTTTTCATCCATCTCTGCCTGTTACTACTATCCATATGAGCTTAAGCAGTAGAGTTAATTTCTCTGAACCTGTTTTCTCAGTTGGAAAATAGGAGATAATACTCTTTCCTATTTCATGGAATCGTTATGGGATTAAATGATATCACTCACAAAATACATTTTTAAAAGAAACAAGTTTTAGAATTGTATGTATAGTCTGACTATAATTTTGTGTAAACATGTATACCAAGTGTGTTTTTCTGTATAAATATTTATAAATGCAATAAAAAGAAGAATAAAATGAAACTCGACAAGGGAGAGATTTCAGAAGGGGTATGGAAAAGGAAATAAATATGAAGAAAATTATCTCCACGTTTCATCTTTGAATTTTGTAAATATTAAACCATGAGCACAAGTTATTTCAAAATTAAGATATAGAAAAAATTAGGAGAAAAATAAACAAACATAAAAACTTCACAGGGGATTTCACACTTGACTGAATCTTAAAAACTGGATGCTTCGTACCTGGGAAATAAGAAAGAAAAAGATGTTCCAGCAAAGAGAGAGAGAGTGGTGTGAGCCACTGAGTAGATAACACAATGCTGCCAGGACCCTGATGAAGTTGGAATGATGAGGGACTGGGTACATTGAGAGAGATGTGAGTGGGAGCATTATAAGGAATAAGTTTGGAGTCTAGAGACATGGCTGGGGCCAGATCTGGGAGTCACCAGAAATGAGGCTGGAGAGATGGCTGGGGCCAGATTTGGGAGGGTCATTAGAAATGAAGCTGGAGTAATGGCTCAGGCCATATCTGGATGCCCTGTGAATGCAATACTATGTAATTTAAACTTTATCCTCAAATTAATGGGAAAGTATTGAAGGGTACTAAGAATGGGAAAAATAATGGAAGCTGTAGTTTAGAGAAAAAAAACTGTGTTAAGGATTGATCAGAAGGAGTAGTCAAAGCTGCAGGCTGGAAAAGAAAATCACAAACTCTTCCAGTAGTCATAAAAAGAGATGCTGAAAGCTAGGACCAAAGCCAAGGCCAAATAATATGTTTTTTATGCTGTGACTACAATTAACAGGTAACATATATTGCGATAGTTCTTAATAGCTAACATTTATTTAGCCAAGCTTAAATTGGCTAAACACTATAAATGGATATCTCAATTATTTCTCACAGCTCAATAAAATAGATACTGTTAATATTTCTGTTATATAAATGATGAAACACAGACTCAGAGAGATCGATACTTGCCCAAACACACCTATATGATAAACAGTGTCACCAGGATCTAATCCATACAGCCTGGTTCCCTGGTCACACTTTCAACCTGCATGTCATAAAGCCTACACCTAAAGTGTCCTCGATGTCAAAGAAAAAGTGCACCAGACAGAATTAAACAGGCAGAGAAGACATTATTCAAGACTTTTGCAATAGGGGAAAAAGACTAAACTTAACTCCACTGAAACAAAAGACAGGAGGAGTTAGTGAGTTAGTGAAAAACAAGTACTGGAAGATGTTAGAAAGGAGGTTGATCAATGCAGTGAGGCCATCTGAGTTTGCTAATTGTTGCTTATTGAAGAAGTTAGGCCCCTATCTTCTCACAGAGACTGGGGGATGGGAGTGCAATCTTTTTCTGGTGATTATATTTCAAAGACATGGCTTCCAGATCCATGAAAAGACATTCCTAAGTTGTAAAACTGGCCAGGGGCTCAGAGGAAATTTACATATCAAAGGAACAGAAAAACATTATATTTATTATTTTTATTTTTTCCATTTTTTTAAGATTCAGATGGTTCATGTGCAGGTTGTTACATGGGTATATTGCATTGTGCTGAGGTTTGGGCTTCTATTGATCCTGTTGCCCAGACAGTGAACATATCACCCAATAGGAAGTTTTCAGCCCTTCCTCCTGTCTTTTGGGGTCCCCAGTGTCTACTGTTCTCATATTTATGTCCATGTGAACCTAAGATTTAGCTCCCACTTGTAAGTGAAACATGTAGTATTTGGTTTTCTGTTCCCATGTTAGTTCACATAGGATAATGGCCTCCAGCTGCATCCATGTTGCTGCAAAGGACATGATTTCACTCTTTTTCATGGCTGTGTAGTATCTGTGCAGTATATGTACCAGATTTTCCTTATCCAATCCACCACTGATGGGCACCTTAGTTGATTCCATGTCTTTGCTATTGTGAATAGCATGGCAATGAACATCCAAGTGCAGGTGTCTTTTGGTAGAATGTTTTATTTTTCTTTGAGTATACACCCAGTAATGGGATTGCTGGGTCAAATGGTAAATCAACAAGCAAAAACCAAATAACCAGATTAAAAAATGGGCAAAGGATATGAACAGACACCTCTCAAAAAAAGATATACAAGTGGCCAACATACACATGAACAAATGTTCAACATTACTAATCATCAGAGAGATGCAATTCAAAACCACAATAAGAGACCATCTCACACCAGTCAAAATGGTCATTATTAAAAAGTAAAAAAAATAATAGATGTTGGGACAGTTGTGAAGAAAAGGGAAGGCTTAGCCACCGTTAGTGGAAATGCAAATTAGTTCAGCCCCTGTGGAAAGCCGTTTGGAGATTTCTCAAAGAGCTAAAAATAGAACTACCATTCAACCCAGCAACCCAGTTACTGGGTGTATACTCAAAGAAATATAAATCGTCTACCAAAAAGGCACACATAGTCACGATTGGTGCAGCACTATCACAATAGCAAAGACATGGAATCAACCCATCAACAGTGGATTGGATAAAGAAAAAGAACATAATTGCAGATTATCTAAAGTAAATGCTCTAATAAAAAGATCAGGAGCCTATAGTCAAGAAGAAACCTGTCTGAAGTTCAGTCAAGGTGAGGAGAACCCTAAAGTATTCTTCATCATCGATCATTCTGAAATATGGGATTCAGTAATTCAGTGTAATTTAAACTTAATTCTACTGAGGAAATTCATGCAAATGGCATGTAAGTCACTAATATACATAACCTATTTTAAAATTATAATATTTACATGTACATTTTAAAAGTTAACACACCAATATACATTACAAAATTTAATATACATCTTTGAAGTAAAATTTTCTGTTTTATAGGCATTTTAAAACAGCACGTAGAAATGAACCTGATGATTCAATAACAACAAAGATAATAGCCAATATTTATTCAGTATTTACTATGTGTCAGACATTGAGCTAAATTTTTTCTTACATGCTCCTAAGAACAATCCTGGGAGGTAGGTACAACAGTATCTTCATTTTATGGATGAGGAAACCTGTTCTTAGAAGGTCACACAATTTATGCATTGAGCCATAAGTAAGACTGGCTACCTAGTTTGTCAGACCCAGTGAAAAATGAAAATGTGGAACCTCTTGTTCAAAAATCATTAAGAGTTTCAAGACAGTGACAACAGAACCTTAAACAGAACAGGATCCTTATAAGCACAGGTTGCACACCCAGAAAGCCAGCCCTAGCTGCCCTTAAGTTTGTGTTTTTAACCTTTTGGATATACTCTGTCTCTTCTGAGTAAGTTATTAAACGGTGAGGTTCCTGGGGGTACCCAGAGTTGTTAAGTCATTATCAATTGACCTGAAATGCCTTTTTTAATGCCTGGAAGAAAGATCCTTTTTCACAGACAGGATCTGGATGTTTAATCCCACCTATATCACACTGCTACTCAGTGAGGTATCAAAGTATCATGAAGACTTGAAACTCTTTACTGAATTTCTGTTTGAAAATAGTAAATGCCTGCAACAAAGGAGGACCTTACAATACAAGGGAGAACTACAACTAAATACTAGCCTACAGACAGCAGCTCCTTTCACTCTGTACTATAACAGCAAGTATTACTGCATCCGATTAGAACTGAACCTGGGTGATATAGTACAATTCTTAGATGACAAGAAATAGCAGGAATGCAAATAAATGAAAGGGTTTTGTTTTGTTTTGTTTTTACCTTTAGAGTAAATAGAAAGATATACAGTAGTACTGAGGCTACTACCAGGAGAAGGCAATATTGGTACTGAACAAAAAAGAGTTTCTTCACACTGAAGTACAGCACAGTTGAGAAGCATGAAATAAAGACGTTTTCTAGACTCCAATTCTATCATTTCCATGAGGTGGGTACTATCCAGAGTGACTACTAATATCACTACATGATACATGATTGGGACTTAGGTAATGGTTCATTGCAAACAGCAATAACAGAGTAGCAGATTCAGATTCCATTATAAAGAAGGTTCGTTTCTATTTGAAAATTCATTTTCCTTTTTGTTAGTTGGAACCAAAATGGAGCTAAACATAGACCAAATATGATATCCATTGTAATACAGGTTATGCATAGGGTTTTTTTCTTTTATTTCAACATCTCCAACACCAGCTCTTTGAAAAGACTTGTATGAATTCTATAACCAAAATTTTCTCACTGGGGACAGACCAGAAGGTATTGTCAGGATGACACATATTCTGTTGTGACTGTTGTTTGGCATTTTGCGTATTTTTTTAAAGTGACTAGTCTTCCTTCTGAATATATTAACAAAATATTAATCAAATTTCATAAATGTAATTATGACCTTTGACTTAAGTATAAATATTTTTCTTCAAAAACAAGCACCTCACTTATGTAGTATAGTTTTAAAACAACTTTATTGAGATAAAATTGACATAAAATGAAGTGCATGTATTGAAAACGCAATGTAAGTTTTGAAATAAATATTTGTCAGAGAAGCTTTGCCAAAAGCAATATAGTGAACCAATCTGTCAACCCTCAAAATTTCCTCTTGTCCCTTAATAATCCCTCCTTTTCCCATGCCCATCCTCCCCTTCCAGCTGGCTCCCCAGGCAACCACTGATCTGCTTCTGTCACTATAGACTAGTTTGCCTTCTTAAAGAACTTTAAATTAATATAATCACTCAGTGTGTACTTCTTTTACCAGTATAATAATTTTGAGATTCATCTACATGGTAGTCTGCATCAATAATTCATTCCTTTTAATTGCTGAATAGTATTCCATTGTATGGATAGAACACATTTTTTTTAACTGTTCACCTGTATTTGGGCGTTTGTGTTGTTTCCAGTTTGGGGTTATTACAAATAAAGCTAATATGAACTTTTTCATACAAATCTTGGATGGAAAATTATATTTATTTCTCCTGGACAAATAGTTAAGGATGGAATAACAGATTATTTGGTAGATGTGTATCTAAAAATTTAAGACACTACCAAACTATTCATCAAAGTATTTAAAACATTTTATTTTCCAACCAGCAGTGTAAGAGAGTTCCAGTTACTCCACATTCTTGCCAATAGTTGTAATAAATATTTTCTATATTTCTTATGATAGATGCACACATATATATTAGCATAACAGTGTTCAGATCTTATAATATTCATTGATAACAAAGATTAAAAAATACAGTTTATTTTCAAAGGTGAGAGGACAGAGGCAAATAGCCATTTTTCAAAGGCATCTTTAGAAATCTGTCACCTTTCTGTTAATTCCCAGTCATTATCATTAGCCACAATAAAAATGATGACTCAAAATATTAAATAGATAGATATTATTTAATGCTAAAGCCACAGCGATTATTTATTTATGGATACAGAAGTTACAAATAAGCCTAGCAAAACTATAGGTGAAGATCAAAAAGGAAATAAATTAGAGAAAACACAGCTTCTCAAGAATTAGGAGTAGAACTAGTATAGCTCTAATGCATCAGTGGGGTAAGCAGTATCTATCTACTAAGGTCATTTCTGCTTAGATTAAGGCAGCAATTTTTTTGTCTATTAAATGTATTTATATAGGACTCCAAACAATCTAGAGTACCCTGAATCACTAGCGACATCAATAATTTTGGTTCAGCTTCCATCAGAAGATGGGATGTGCTTTTGTCAAGATGTTGTCAGGTATCAGATCCCTTTTCAAAGCTTGCAGGAGATGAAAGTAGCACTCCTTGAGGTCAGAAGCTAACTGGTGTCTTTTAGTGTTATTTATTATCTGAGGAACATGAGTCAATTCATAAGAAGCTCCCGGTGGATAGTATTCACAATCGGCCTTCAGTTTCAACCCTTACTGTTCTGCAAGGCAATGGAAGATGAACAGTGATGATTTTCAGGTCTCTGCACAGAGGTGAAGGGGTTAGGGTCTGAACTTTCCTGATCTTCCTTGGATGCTATTATCAGTGACATCTACTTACCTTACTCCTTTTTTATAATAAGTTGAATTTATTAATAAAATCCCATTCTTAATCATTTATTTCATCATGATTACAGAATATAATCATAGACATGAGATCTCAATACCTTCTGGGAAAGTTCATTTTATTTGAGAGTGTTTAATGGGCAGACAGTGCTTCCTTTTACCTTCGGAGCTGAAATCTGCCTCTTAGTCATTTCTTTCTAACTAATGGAAGATTCCCTACTGCTAACAAAGAGACTTACTGAGAGAAAGATGTAGAAATTTCATGAAAAGAGTATGAGTTTGCATCATACTTCCACCACTTCACTTCCAGATAATATTTTCCTTCCTTATCTTGTGAAATGTCTACAATAATAACCACATCTTAGGGTTGCTTGAACACTAAATGAAATTATTTTAATGCATAGTCCCTACTTGATAAATTCAAGTTCCAACTATGAGTTACACTATTGCTCCTGGTGAACCTGACAGTCTAGCTTAAGTTAGGAAAGTCAAGCTTTCTCTGACAAAAACTTTTATTGCTCATGCTCTTTGATCATGCTTCATTTTTAGAAGTTTCCTACACTGAGATTTTTAATAGGAATTGAGAGCTAAAATTTTAGTGTTTTCAAATAAGCTTTTAACCCCATGTATTCATCAGTTTCTTTTTGGCCTTTAATTTCTAAAATTACAAAGAATGTCTAAAAGCTATCATGTAAAAAACAAATTTTATTTAGTGGCACATTAAATATTTTCAGTTTCCATTTGCCTACAACAACCTAGCCACAGCTGTTTCAGTGTCTATCTATCTGCTTATCTATCAATCACATACTGAATCTCCTCCCTCTGTGATCTGTTACAAACCCACCATATTCCAGATAAATGTTCCCAGTAAAATCAGTAAAATCAACAATAATACCATTAAATCCTAGTCTTGTTGACTGTGGAAGAACTGGGGCAAACTCATCAAACCCAAGAGAAAATTGGTGGATGTGTGTTTATCTCCCTGGCGCAATAGCATCTTTGTAGGAAATACCCAAACTCTTATTGCATACCTACTGTCAGACTCTATTGACAATGTGCTTAATCACCAAGTTCTCTGCATTTGGGAAGCTTCATTCCTTTTCTCTGGTATTTTTAAAAAATATATCTTATTCCTACCTTTCAAGCCATCCACAAAGCTGTCAATTTTCTGATATGCACTTCTTTCTCCAAATGTCTACATTGCTGATAGTACCTGATAATTCAAATAAAATATAGCTCGCATCCTACTCTAAGAGAATACTTTCAACTTAACCAATCTAGTCTTATAAATTTTTAAATTGTCAATTTTTTTTTTGTTCAGGGACAAAGTGAAAGTCTGAGACAAAATAAAAAAAGAAATCTTAAACATTTGTGATTTAGAAATCAGATCATTTACACTGTTCATAAAATAGTATTTATTACGAAATTATCATCTTTTGTTTTTTCTGTCTCCACTTCTTGATTAGCCACTTAAAAGAATTATTAGCTAAAAATTCTTCACAAAGGATTCTGTGACTCCCTTTATCCTCTGACAGGTCATCCTGTTGAAAGGCCAGCTCTTTTAAGGAAAGTTGCATTTTCTCAGGATAAAACAAAAATATTTTATTCAATACCTCAGTGTGTTAAGGTTGTCTCTCTGGGATTTCATCTGCTCTGTATGTTGACCCTGGACTAAACACTGCCAACCTCATACCCACTGCATCAGCAAGTCTTGTCAGTTCTACTTGCTGAATATTTTCTGAATTTTCCCTTTTCACTCCTCACTGTTACCCTCCTAGTCCAATGTACATTATTTCTCACCTGAACTACATTCTTCCTCTCTTACCTGGTCTCCCAGTTTCTACTCAGGCTCACAAATATTTTCCCCTTTACCCAGTAGCCAGAAGAACAATTTAATTCATATTAATAATTCTGATAATGCATTACCCTGATTAAACTTTCCAGTAACTTATAATTACCCTTGGAGCAAAATCCAATTCTCATTTTCAGCTCCAAGGTCCTGCACCACCTGTTTCCCTCTGGGCGCTCCTCTCCTACCATTCTGCCTCACTCACGGTCCTCACTATACTAGCCTTCTGTCTATTTCTGAAATAAACCCCTCTTATTTCTAATTCAGGCCTTGGAATCCATTTTTTTCCAGATCTTTATGTTGCTGGCTTTGCTACCTTTCACATCAAACTAATTCTCATCCCAGTGTTCTCTCCCCTCCTATCCTACTTTAATTTCTTACCAGAATGTTTTATTCTTACTATTTATTCTTTGTACACATTTTATTCCTAATATGTATATTATGTATTACTATGTATTCTTACTATGTATATTATGCATTTGCATACTTGTTTATAGTCTGCTTTCCCAATTAGAATGTGAATTTTTTGTGGCATAGACTTTTTGTGGTGTAGACATTTTGTGGGGTAGACTTTGCCTCACTCACTCCTGTCCTGTCTGCCCCTTTCTCCCCTCCAATTTAGATTAGTGCCTGCTACATAGAGAGTACAAGAAAGATCTGTTAAATGAAAGAATGAAAAAGCAACACGTTGAGTAATGTTACTAAATATATCACTAAGATCTCCTCTAAAGACACCCTTCTAAAAATACTTCTGTAAATTGCAACAAAAGATGAAACTCTTAAATGTTGTCATAAAACATATTTAGCTTATAAGACATACAGATAGAAACACTAAAAAACTTAAAATATTCCTATAAAAATGGCAAGACCATGTTTTAGTCACTGAACAAGGATCCGTGGATCATGGAGTCATCTAGTTAATAACTGAGTAGCCTGTCCTAGTCTGAGCATGGCCACTAACCTAGTATGAGGAAACAGTGTTCTTGTTGCAAGGGTAATTCTACTGAAGAGATAAAATTATTAAAGTTAGTTAATTCAACAATTAATTTTGATATAAAGGATGTGTTATGAAAATTTAGAAAATGGTGAAGTTGAAAGCAAAGCAGACACAAGAGAAAGCATAACACAAGAGCAGTTTACCTTGGAATTTATTGGGTGAGAGGCTCTTGGCTAGTTCATCCATCCTGAACACCAAAAACTGCTTAGAATGATTGACCAGGTTCTCTGGTTAGACAACTTTTCTTAAAATACTTTAAATATTTTCTTAGGAAAGCAGTCTTTCAACTGAGGGCTTTGTAAGCCTGGAGTGGTGGTAGGGTTACATGGAGGATTTGGTTGGAAATAACCAAATCCTTATCTGGAATAACATTTCAATATGTATATAAATTCATGTTTGTGTTAGAAGTAATGTATTTTCTCTATTATGTAGGAATCTGTCAAGATTAGAAAGAGCTTCATATCTTTCAAAACCCAAGTAATAATAGCTTCAGCAAGATGAATAAATGATTTTATTTTTCATGCGGAAGGAATTCAGAGATGAGTTTTTTCTGAACTTCTACAATTACTCTGAGAATTTGCCAGAGAACCAGCCTCCATTTTTTCTGCACTACATTTTCAAATATTGTTTCTATCTTCCAGTTGTCTCTTGATCTCAAAATGGCTGCTTCAGCTCCAGGCATTATATTCATATTCTGGATAGGAGAAAGGAGAAAGGAGCAGGTGCAGAGGAATATACCTCCCAGCTGAATAACTTTCTTGAAAAACTCATCCATTGGCTTCTACTTACATTTCACTGGCCACGTCTATTTGAAAGGGAGGATGGAAAGTGTCATTATTATCTGAGCACTTTAGTGGTCCCAATAGTATAGAGTTTTTTGGGTTTTGTTTTTTGTTTTTACTAAGGGAAAGGGAAGAGTAGGTACTGGGTAGGCAGTGTGTACTACCACTATCCAGTGTATATACCACTATATATTTTTTTGTTTGTATTTGTTTCGTTCACTGTTATATTCCTCACATCTATCATAGTGCCCAGATTTTCAATAAATTATGCAATCCCAATAAATTAATATATAAATAAATAATTTTACAATATTTGTCTGTACTTTAACTGTGGTGTAGCTATGCAGCATATCTTTGCCATTGTTCCTGTGTCGGCCACTTCTTTTATCATCTGGTGATGTCACTAAATCAACATCAACTATGTCCTAATTCATGTCAATTATCTGCTTCCCTGTGTGAATCTCAATAGGCTAATAGCATATTGTTCAAAGTTTTGATTTTAAAAGTGCAGAGTATTCACCAATTGTAATTCTATATCACAGGCTATTTCTAGGTCTATTTCTATTTTCTAATGCACATATATAGGCAAATACTGTAATTTCAATTTCAGGCTAAGTTTTCCAATTCTGAAAGTAAGTCAACTACTAGGGAAAATGTTTAAACACATTCTCTTTGATGTAGTGGCTTTGACAGGAAGAAAACAGCTCCGTCTCTTGTACCCAAAAGTCTTTGCTCAAAGCTCCCTTCCTGTGTCAATTACCCACCAGCAGCAAAGGTTTAAAAAGTCTACTTTCTACCTAACAATTGTTTTTCAATTTTTATGCCCACTTGTGTGTAAATTAAAGAAGAAGCACCTACATTAGCTTTTGTGAATATTACTTATTTTTCCCCTTTTTGTTTCTGGTCTGTCCACTTTTTACTGGGAAAAATTTTTATATGGGCATATTTGCATTTTGTGGGGGAATTTCACCCTTATTCTCTATATTTTTCTATCTTTTAAATTCTGTTCAAGTAATAAGAAAATAAAGAAAATTCATATATTCATAATAATGAATTTTAAGACCTGAACAAAATTTGTAATGGCTCAACATATATGCTGAAACATCACAGTACTATATCATAGCATTGTAACTACACGTACTAGACACCTTCACATATACAATGGATTTGAATCTTTTTATGCCATCAATTCAGAAGCAAGGAAATAATGGAGAAACGGAAAAAGCAAGGTCAATGAGTGAAAATAAATATGAAAAAGGGTGAATGTAAAGATGCTGAGAGATAATGAGATCCATGTAAACTAAACGACTTAGGCATTAGATACAGAAATAGAGATAAGAAAGCAAAGGAACATAAGAGACGTGATTACCAAAAACTCATTAAACAAGATTCAGCAACACCACCACTTACTTCATTTAAGAATTTGCTATTTATGCTATTTGTTGACTGAAAGAGGTAAGATTACTGTTTTAACTAAATGCCTGTCTCGGCTTTGTTTCTACTCAATTCTTGAGACTAAAAAAAAATGAAGGAATTGTTTTTACCAATAAGTAGATTAAAATATACCTTAGGTTCGATTTTTTTAGAATGTATTTTTATTATTATTATACTTTAAGTTCATGTACCCCAGGTTTGATGTTTTGATCATGTCGACAACTTGAATCAAACTAATGGCAGAAAACAGTTATTGAATAGGCATATTGTCTATAACTTTAATGTATTTCAATGTAGTGTGTGAGTTTGTTCCAGAGATGAAAATCAGTAGACTAGAAATTCATAGGCACATATATTTCTCATTCATTGCTCAACTCCCACACCTAGAAGGGTGCCTGGCATATAGTATATACTCAGCAAATATTTGATGAGTAAATAGATTGATTTGTCAACAAAAAAATCATTTAATCCATCTAAAAGCAAAACCTACATAATTATAATGTTTATATGAGGTTAAAAGAATGAATTATCCACCTTAATTGAGAAAAATATGTACTATATTAACTAGAAATGAAGTCTAGAGTTCAGAATTCTAACCATATGTATCACATTTATCTGTAGAAATTATCTAATTTTATCTTAAGGTTTCAGCAGAAAACATTTGAAAGCATTTGGAAAACTTGCATAGTGTTCATTATATAATAAGAACTCAAATTTTTCTTTCAGTTTCTACTTTTATTTTAGAAATGCAATGAACTTATCTACCATAATTCTAATTTAATTCATAATGTAAAGGGCTATCAATATTAACCTGGGGTCCACATGATATACTATAAAGTGTATAGGCCTTTGCATTAGACTAACCCAACTTTCAACTTAGTAGATGTGCGGCCTTGAATAAGTTGTTTGGCCTTTCTTAACTTGAACTTCCACAATTATAAAATGTAGATCATACCTACATTTTATGTCAACTTATATATATATTACTTAATCCTAAGTACAATGGCCTAAGGAATAACACTTCAGCTGTTTGGCATGACTCCAGTTCCTGGCACATCTCTTCAGTCATTTTGAACTCCTCGCTGTTCTCTTCCTTTATTCTACCATCAAGTGAGGGAGCTACCTTCAGCTGGGGGAATTCCTGGAGAGGTATGCAGCTGTGAACCATGAGCACATACTGTGAATCATAAGTACATACATATTAGTGTGGTTGTGAGGATAAAATGAGATGATACATCTAAAATGTTTAACACGATATTGGACACATACTAGATCTTCAATAAGTGTTCTCCTTTAATTGCACCACTTGGCCAGAGCAATATAAACTTGTCAGATTTCACATGATATTTTAGCTGATGTGTTTTAAAACCATAGAAAACGTATATGAAGTTGCTGGAGTGCAAAGGGGTGATGTTGCAAGACACCGATTCACTAATAGTAACAGAGTTATTTCATTAATTATCCCAGAAAGAAGGAACTTGGAAGGGTAATGCCCCAAATTTGACCTGGACCTCTCATTCATTCTGTGGTAGACAAATAACAATCTGAGAAATTTAGCACTATTTCACAGGAGCACAAGGCAAAGATGATCTTTTAGTGACAACAGAAATATGGTGGTGGTGAATAATTTCACTACAGATTTTCTCATAACAGTTGACTTTCTAGAGAACGTATGACCTGTTAGATTCATTCTTCCAGTCAATGGCTATTTTATTTCAAGTTAATAAAAAGTGATGCACTCATAATGGCAGAAATTATGCTTAAAAATTAGACACATTAATATTGAGTCTTTCATGTTTTCCCTGATGTGTATCTGCATTAGTAAATTGATTACATAAAATACACACATATACTTAACAAAACACTTTCGGAGAATGAGTGGATCAATGAAACATCTCTGTCAATTTGACACTTCACATTTTCCCCATGGTTTCCATTCTAGATCAGAAAAAGGAGAGAAAGCAATAAAATATTCATTAACTGCACTGCAGCCCATTTATAGCAGATGGTCTCTGGAGGATAAATTTCAAAACACGTGCTAGAGAGCGCTGTACAAAATATGTGGTTGTCCTGACACAGCAACTGGTGTGAAGAATGGCAAACGCAATAGTTGTTATTAGTGAGTGAGAAGATCATCTATTGTGAATCATGATCCAGCTCCCTTTTCATTTAGTTTAAGAAAAGGGTAAGAGTAAAGTTTGCTGTCCCTTATCATTTCAGAGATTTTATAAACAGATAAAAAAGTACAAGATTTGCCTCACAGTATCATCAAGTATTATGATAATTCTTAAAAATTGTAACGAATCTTCTTTCATCATTCTTTAAGTTCTTAGAAAATTAAGATATTTGGAGATACATAGCAATGGTAATAATTCACAGGTATTACAATGTAGAGGGAAGAAAAAGGAGGAAAATTATATATTATAAATATTACACACATGACTGCATGGTGGGTGGATGGATGGATAAAGAGCTAGATGTACAGTTGTATAATTTAAAATACTAGAAGCATAAAATGATAAAAATTCTAATCAGGATATAAAATAAAATATAAATGTGCTCTAAGTCTCTCAAAAGCTAATATAAGTAGATAACATTTAGAATGAAATGAACATTTTTTTGGTTTGCCAAATTGCCTGTTTGTTCAATATAATGTAACAATTATCCAGATTTTTCAAACTCTAAGTTTGTGTATGTTACTGACTTTCACTATAAAAATACTTTGGCATTACACTATTCTTTCAAAAATTTGTGGAGATATATTTTTAAATTCACTTTAAATCAATTTTCTTAATAGTGAAAAGTTTGGCAAAATCATCTATATTTCTTAGTGCATATTGAATTATGCAACGTTCTTTTAAATTTTTTTATTGTAGTACAAAAAATCATAAGAGAAAATTTACCATTTTAAAGTGTACAGTTCAGTAGTGTTAAGAATATTCACATTGTGCAATTACCTGTAGAATTTTTCCATGTTGCAAAACTGAAGCTCTATACCCATTGAACAATTCCCCATTTCTCCTTCCTCCCAGCTTCTGGCAACCACCATTCTGTTTTGTGAGTTTAACTACTGCCAATGCCTTGTATAAATGGAATCATCTGGTATTTATCCTTTTGTGACAGTCTTATTTCACTTAGCATAATGCCCTCACAGTTCATTCATGTTGTAGTATGTGAAAGAATATCCTTCCTTTTTAAGGCTAAATAATATTTTATTGTGTGTATAGACACATATTGTTTAGCCACTCATCCAGTGATGGACACTTGTGTGTTCCCACCTCTTGATTATTGTGAATAATGTTGCCATGAACATGAATATGCAAATGTCTCTTTGAGATCTTGCTTTAAATTTTTTTAGATACTTAGTTGGCCCCCTATATCCATGGGTTTTCCATCTGTGGATTCAATCAACCATGGATCAAAGTGTTTGGAAACAAATATTGCACCTCCACTGAATGTGTACAGACATTTTTTTCTTGTCATTATTCCCTAAATGATATAGTATAATAACCATTTACATTATATTGGGTATTAGAAGTAATCTAGAGATGATTTAATGTATATGGGAGGATGTGATGGGTTATATGCAAATACTGTGCTATTTTATATCAAGGACTTGAACGTTCATAAATTTTGATTTTCTCTAGAAGTCCTGGAAGCCGTCTCCCACAGATACCAAGAGACCACTGTATATCCAGAAGTGTGACTACTGTGTAATATGAAGTTATAACTTTAATTTCTTCAGGAACCACCATACTGCTTTCCACAGCAGGTGCTCTATTTTAAAATCTCACCAACAGTGCATAAGGTTTCTAATTTCTCCACATCCTCACCAACACTTATTTTCTGTCCTTTTGATATTAACCAACCTGATGGATATACAGTAGTATTTCATTGTGGTTTTGATCTGCATTTCTCTAATGGTTACTGCTATTGAGCATATTTTCATATGCTTGCTGACCATTTGTATATGATCCTTAGAGAAGCATCTTTTCAAGTTCTTTGCCTAATTTTTAATTGGATGGTTTTTTGTTGTTGAGTTATAGGAGTTCTTTAAATATTCTGGACACTAACTTCTCAGATTAATGATTTCCAACATTTTCTTGCATTTCATATGTTGCCTTTTCAGTCTATTGATTGTTTTCTTTGTTGTACAGAAGTTTTTTAGTTTGATATAGTCCCATTTATCTATATTTGCATTTGCCGCCTATGCTTTGGGTACATTTCCAAGAAACGATTGCCAAATCTAATGTCATGAAGATTTTCATTTGTGTTTCCTTCTAGGAGTTTTTTGGCTTGGAGTGTTACATTTAGGTTATCAATGCATTTTGAGTTAACTTTTGTATATTGTGTAGAATAAGGACTCAACTTCATTCTTTTGCATATGCATATTGTAATATTCTTTTATTCTTTTCTCTCTTTCACTGTCTCTCTTGCCTCACATTCAAGCATTTACATGAATTTCTTTTTTGCTTTTTTTTTTTTTTTTGTTAAATCATCACCTGCAATTTCTCCTTATTTTCCTTCTCATGTTTGGATCTATTGTTTGGAATATTACAATAAGTCTCAATGAGAATTATAGTGGTATAATAAGCTAAGATTAGCATTTAAGGTGGAGAATAAAACAGAAGAAGTGGATGAATACTTGAGGCAAGATTCCTCTCTGTTTCTGATAATATACGGAGAAAAATCCTACAAATTTTGACATAAAAAGAGAAGTATTTGTAGCAACATATTTTTTTATTGTGGCTTCCCCTCAACAGATTGCCTCATGTGAGTCTCAGTTCTTATAAAAAGTTATTTATCATTTATTTCTCACAGAACGAACTAGAAGACAGAAGACATTTGATGTTTAATTTATGAAATATAAATACTGGCAAAATAATGTTGCATTCTACATTAAAAAGAATGATAATGCCTTTCCAGGAGAGTACTTATATAATTGCAAGGCCTGTTATGAGATTTGAGTCTATTCCCAGCTTGTTCCATTATGTTATACAAATCGGCCACCAGGTAAAAATCCTATCACATTGCACAAAAGTATTGTAAGTTAATTATTAGTAAAAACCCTCAAAATCTTGATATTACTACTTTTAAAATATAATTTATTGTCTCAGATGTATCAAGAAGCAACTATTATTGAGACTTTCTTATCTTTTCTATGTGAAATCAAATTCTCTCCAGGGTACTTTATATAACTTATTAAAATAGTCTGTTTGTAGGCAAAATTCTTCTTACTGTGACCAGAAGACTTTAAAATTAGTGGCAAACGAATTTGGATATTCCCAGAGAAAAAGAATCACAGAATTGAGTATTTGAAGTTAGGTTTAATGTTCTAATTTCATGTGAAAATATAGGTGCAAGCTCAGACATATTTTGATACAAGTATCTGGGAACCAGATATTGAACTAAACAATTTACAGACCTTGGAATAAGTAGAAAATTACTCTTGAAACCATGTTAAAAAGCAAATGTAAAACTGATCACATTGGAATAAAAATAATCATGTCTAGAAAAGTATTTTCAGTAAGTATGATTTATATTTGAGAGAAAATTATTTTCTACATCTTGGATCACTTGTATATCATACCAATCTTTAAAGAATTATTTCAACCTTCTCAAATTTATATTACCATTTTAAGCAGATAAATGAACCAGTGACTTTATTAACTAAAGTATGTCAAACTAGTGTTCTATAAATCAAAGAGGGGTAAAGGGGTTAAAACTGATGATAAAAGTCTAATGTTATAGTTCTCCAAGTTACTATATTCCAAAAGACAACAGATCATTTTGTTAAAATACTGTATTCAAAAAAGTTCTCATTTTCTTCCTACAGTTTATTTAAGTATGTTTGCATAAAATCTCAAATAGTTCCAATATGTAGTATCAGTTACAACATTTGTTAAGTCCATACAATTTATCACATTAGCAGGCTAAGAGAAAAATAATAAATGCTATTATGAATAAACAATTCATCTTAGGACAGTTCACCAAAAGGCAAGTAAATAAGCAAGCAAACAAAAGCCAACTCTTCACTCAGATAAGAATTCAGTCTGTGATTTGTGTATGTGTCTATTTATTAACCAAGAGTTTAACTTGACTTAATGTTAAGATACCAAAGGCATGAATTTTATTTTACTAAGAAAATGCTTTCAAGGAATCCTGGTGAACTTTTATTAGCTTTGCTTGATTTTGAAATAATTTTATATGAGTGGTCCACTCACAAAATAGAAAATGTAAAAAAAAAAACCCCAACTAGATTTAGTGACCCTTTATATGAGTATAAAATGATTTCATGTTATATTGTGAACTTTTCACAAACCTTTTCTAAGCAATTAATGTGTTGGTTTTTAATTCTGAGAACAACATATCCCAAATACTACTCTGCAGATTGAGTTCCCTCTGTCTAAATAAAATGATAGACTTTCTAAAAATATTTTTTAAATCATATTATTATCATGAGTTGCAAGAGTCTTTCCAAGTAGATTTCCTTAAAGGCTAAAGTCTACTCATAGCAATGTGAAATACTCTAGTTGTGATTACTCCAGACAGAGGATATCTACATAAGTAAATTCACCCAATAAAAACTAGTATCCCACTTCCTTTTATGTTTATGTGAGAGTTCCATTGGCTTCTAAAGATCGAATAACTTTTCATAGAATCATAGAATTTTAGATCTGGTACAATTCTTAGAGATACCTCTAAGGAATCCAAGACCACAAAGCTTTAAAGATCAAAAATCAATGAAATGAAGAACAAGGACATAGTATCAGTAAGATGCAAAACCCCAAACTGTTACGTTGAAAGGACTGATAATAGACAAAACTCTTACAAGAAAGTCCAAGGGGAGGAAAATAGAAAATCACAGACAAATAAAATACAAAATGAAAAGGAGACATATTGTTCACATAGTACAAGTTTTATGTCATAAGAAATACAATGAATAAGTTTATGTTAGTGAAATTGAAAACTTAGATGAAAAGAAAAATTTCTTAGAAAAATATACATAATCAAAATACACGCAATAAGAAATAAATAACCCAACTGATCACTACCACTTAAGAAATTGAATAAAAAAAAAAGATTCCTCCCAAAAAATACATGGCCCAGATGGATTTATAGTCAATTTATACCAAACTTGAAGAAATGGATAATTCATGTACAATTTGTATCAGAGAAAATGGAAGAAGTAAAACTGTCCAACACATTTTATAAGGCTAATATAATTTTGATACCATAACTTGATGAAAAAAATATAATGCCTCCATTTTTAACCAGCCTCACTTATAAGTAGAAATATAAAAAATACTATATATAATACTATTTGAATCCGGATATATTTATTTAAAATTCACTATTAAAAATCTGTATATTTAATGCACTATACAAACAAACACAAAAAGAACACATGGTAATCCTAAAAGATCCTCCTTTATTAAACATTCCTTCTAAAAGTTTTTCTGTTTTAAGTATCCATTCCAGGTAGACTATCAATATGTCATATATGCCTTTGATAAATAGTATGATAAAAGGAGACAGAAAGTGGTTTATTTTCACCCAAAATAATATTTAAAATGGAATTTTAACCCCAAATATTACTTGTTTGCTTCCCTAATCACTAAGTTCAGAATGCCACTGGGAAATTTCAAACGGGGTCTGAATTAAAAATTTAATTACAAAACACACTACCAAAGCTTACAGCATTTTTATTTCGATTGGGTGATAACCTAATTATAATTAGGATCATATTTTAAGAGTAGCTATACAAATTCAAGTTACCCAATAACTTTATAAAATTTAACCCTATTAAAAAATTAAGTATACAGTTCTAACTAATGGAGTTGAGCAATTAGAGTGGTAGAGGGAGCTCCAATCAGAACAGGAAAGCTCAAAAGTAAGCCACACCCCTCCTCCTCCTCATCCTTTTCTGTGCTAAGAAACTTAACTGGCTAACTCAGACACAGGTTATTAAGTCTGACTTATTTTGTCCATCTAGGTTTAAACAGTATCCATTCAGAACAATGACAAGAAAGCTTTAAGTAAGTTTGCAAATCTGAATGATTGGGTTCCTGTGCGATGAGTGCCACTGGGTGGAGGGATTTGAAAATAGGTGTGCAAGTCATACACTTACAACCACCAGTCAGATTAAGTTTAGATTAAGAGGGTCTATCTTATCTTCATTGAGAACAGTCTCTCATAAAGGTGTGTGAATTTGCTAGGGGATGTATATGAGCTAATTGATATTTCTTGCCTTAAGGTATCATTCAGTTCCAAAACTTTTGTGCAGACAAAATATTCCTCGTTTAGTACTTCACTCCATGTAGATTAACTTAGGTTTTATCCTTTTCAGACTAAAGCACTGGTTGGTTGCAATTTTCCTTAACTACCAGTGGATTTAGCAATGATATATACACTGTCTTAATTGCTTAAATCCCTCACTAACATTTTTTTGACAATGTAATCAGAAGATTAAAACAAGGATGCAAAATTACAGATAACAGTGTATGGATTTTTTTTGTTCACCACATGCAGGATGGTCAGATAGATGTTAATGAAAATATCTTTTAATTGACAGTATGAATGTATATATATGTGTGTGTGTGTGTGTATATATATATATATATAACATCTCACTGTTTTTCTTTTAAAAATGTCTAAAAATATAAAAGCACTACATGAAATAAAAGACTGTATTTGCAAGATATAAATTATTTTTCCTCCTTAGAAATGTATTATAATTTTAATTTCATTGATGTGATGATTTCTTTTTAAAATTTAACTGAATGCTTTGTTTTCTTTAAATAAGGCTTATACAATACAAGATGCTTCTTGCCCTTCTAGGAAGAATCCTTTACTGAAATGGAAGGTAAATTCTTTGGTCACTCACTAGCTTTGCAGTTTTCAACTTTATTAAAAATATGTTTTCTTTAAAGAAGCTTCAGTGATTTCTACAAATAATATAAATGGCAAAAACATAAAGAAATTCAGTTTATCATGTGAAATTGTACATTTCACAATTGCTCAATCAAAAAGAATTAGATGAGAATTTTTCACTTTCAAAATTATACACACATAAAATAGAATTATAGACATATATTTACAGATCTACAGAATAATAGGACTATCTTCTGAAATTATAATTTATTTCTTGTTTAGAAAATAATTTGGATTATTTTGAAACAAATGAAAGAAATAAACATTGGAGATTATATATATATATATATATATATATATATATATATTTAGCTGGTTTTTAAAAAAGTATTCAATAGAATGAGCACCACTTAAATAGCATCTTTGGCTAAATGGTTCCAAATCTACAATCTTCATATAGTAATGGTAAAGACTGCATGGTGTTTATTACAGCTGTAAACATTTAATGGCTGATAATTAAACAGCATCCATATTGAATCTTGCAAGATTTAATTAAACATAGCACACTGCAGATGTGAGATTTAAATTACTATTTATAATTACATGTAAAACACAATTCCTAATATGGTCACATGGAATTCTGAGAGAAATTTGCAATTTCCTCTCATTTTAAACAATGTTAGTTTTGAATTCCTTACTCCATTTTTTAAATTATGGAGCATTTGACAACAGACAGTATAACAAATATGTCAAATGTGTTTATGAATATTGGTCCTGAGTGAAGGAGTATTGTCTCAGAACTATTCCTTTAATATTTTTATTCCAAAGGTATAGCAAAAAAAAGAAAAGAAAATAGAAATAGACCCACCTAATTACAAATAATTCAAATAAAGGAAAATAGGAACTAGCCCAACTCTATCATCAGATGAATAGAAAGCTAGAAAGAAAAAGTAAAAGGATTTTATTTTTCTTCAGTTTTAGCATCATATGTAACTCATATATTTGCATATTATTTACAAAAAATCAGTGAAGAATATTAGAGTGCAAAATTGATGTAAAGGGAACATTTAAATTTTCATGTGGAAAACCTATTAAATACTGAAAAAATTTCAGCCTTCTTTATTCCCTATTAAAGATGTCTTTGGTATTTTTATCCATACAATGTATAGGAAATACAGTGAATGTGGAGTATTTTATAGTTGATTTCACAGACTAATTGATTGCACAAAACATTTAATACACCTTTCATAACAGAAATTGCTTAGCATCTTATTTGTGCGATATGTCTCTATGGGGTGGGAAAACAAAAATGGAATGTGCCAAAGACTAAATTCAATTTGCACCATTCTCCTGTCCTGTATGTCTGTAATGTTTCACTTTCACAAATGTTTACAATGAGAATCTTGTCAGTGAGGACTCTGAGACCAGAGAGGCAAATGGGTGATGTTGAGAAGACTAACAAAGAATGCCTTGAAATTCCATATTCCTCATCTCCACAAGCATAAAGAAAAGCACAATTTATTTTTAGTAAATTATGGGAGTGAATTACACCCTAATATTTAAATTAATTATCCTGGTCATTCTTGATTAACACTTCTCTTGCCACTATTGTATTACAAAGAGCTACCAAATTTAAAAATCTGCAGGTGAGCTGAGAAAAAACTATAAATAACATATTCAACAAGGAATAATTTGTCTGATCATATATGCTTATTATATGCATATATAGTACCATAATTGTTCATGGCATTTTAAAATAGATAAAACAGTCTCAAAGTTATCATTCAAAGAGAAGATTCTGATAAAGAAAATAGATGAAACCTAGCAATGGAGCTGTCCAGGGCTCCATATGCATGTGATGGTTTCTTATTTACATGTTGCTCATGTTTATGCATGTTCAGAAGAATACAGCTGCTACCCCATTCTCCAGAAATCACAGACACCAGTCAAGTCTACAAATAGCCACATTTGAGCTTGTAATGTATTTATGAAAAGCTAGAAGCTCTAATGGTAGGGAAGGGGAAAAGCAGCACAATTTGCTTTGAAAAGATAACAGATATTTTTCAAAAAACAAAAACTGTATATTCAATTCAGCTCCTTTAGGTGCTTTCATGTTATAGGAATTCTGCTGGTGATGAAAACAGCATCCAGCCAATCAAATGGTGGTACCCTAGTGCCATCCAAAGTAGAAGCCTAGTGTTTAAAATAACCCTGATGAATTATTCATAGAGCTGATGTTTATGCAAATTAGAGAATCATGCATCCACCTGACCACCAAGGAAAGAAAAAAACATAGGGAAAAAAAAACCATCATGTTTTTAGCATTCTCTAGAACCTATGAAATCAAATGATAATATTCTTTCATTAAATGCATCAAGGAATTACAATCCTTACCTGGTTAGTTTGTAGGGCCTTCAGATTTTCTGGATGAAATAACTGACTGTGCGTGCAACCAATAAAACTGAACTGAAAAGCTGATTAAGGGCACTTACTTAATGCAAAGCCACTCACTGAATATTCATATGATGCCTGTGTTTATGCAAATTAAAGCAAAAGAACGCCCAAGGGGATTGGTTGCCATAGACCACAAATACTGTGTACAGCAGAAAATATAGAGAATAGTGACAAATAAATCTTGAAATTCATAGCTTTGAAGCAACAAAGGAGAAATAGTAAAATATTAAAAAGCTGAGGTGAAGTACAGGTTTAAATTGTTTTATTTACTCATATTACTTTAGAACTATCGGCTATTCCTACCATGTAATGATCTATAATTATCTTAATGCCAAGAGATATCTTCATGTTTGTTTGTCAGCTTTATTTATCCTTTAGCCATTCATATTAGCAGATCTCCTAAGCATAGAATAGTGAAGAAAGAAACAATTATGATAAAAATGAGTCGGTAGAATAATAACCAAACACAGACCCATGTGTGATACGATATTAAGTCTTTTATGTACTGATTCTTCATTGGTAAAACCTTACTAAGTAGTGTCAATGGAAGACCTCCAACATGTCGAGCACGTTGCTTTCTCAATATTGATAGATATCTGCTTCATTTGATATGGGGATTATTTTATATTAGATGAGAGACTGACTGAATCTTTTGGCCAAGAAGATTTTGCCACATGCGACTTTAAATTCCAAGGATTTTCACTTTTAGAACCCACATACAATAATGTTCTCTGAAATGCATGCTAATATGTAGTGTCCTAATCATGAAAAAATGTGAATCCTCACGTATGTATGTGAGAACCGATTAAAGACATTGGCAAGATTCATAATATTTAAAGGATACAACACATGTCTGGCATAAAATGCTTTATACTGTTAAGAAGGATCTTCACTTTTATTTCTTGAATAAGAATCAGAGATGGCTAAAAATGCTAGAATGTATCTTACGGGTTTTTTGTTTGCTTTTGTTCATCTCTTTGTTTTTTGTCACATACATTCAAAACTTCAAAAATAAGAATAAGGCAATATTCTCCATGGCAGTTACCACTGACTGAAGAGTACTTATCATTTTCCAATGGTTTCCTAATAATTCTCACATCGTCATTCCACAATGACTTTGGTCTCCCTCAGATAACATAATGAATTTTCAAGCACTTCTAGGAAATAATATTTAAAGTTTTAAGCATCTATACAAAGCTGGCTACACTTATCATAAATGCTATGAAGACTGAATCCAATTCCTGGACATTGTTTTCCTAGAAGAATTTAGAGGGACTTCTTTGTGGCACCTTATGCTTTCCTAATTACAGCTTTCATGGTTGCAAATAATTTCCTTTCTTGTAAAGTTGCTCTTTAGCTTTCCATGACAGTAATCTTAACAGATGTATAGTGATGTGCATATACATACATTTTCTATAAAATATATTGCGTTTATTTAATCTAATTAACGTCTCCTTAAAATTCTCTTTTGCTAAGTTTCAGAATTGACTTGAAACACTGTGATCAACATATCTAAAATTAAGAATTAAGTTGTTAAAATTTTAGAAGCTGTGAATTTCCATTTTTGTTATTGGTGATTTCTTTCATTTAATTAATTAATTATATTTATACATATCTGTTCATACAAAATACAGAATAAAATGAATGTATAACTAGTAGTACACTTTCCTTTATCATCATGCAATTCTTTTTCTTCTATTAAGAACCTATTATATAGAAAGTAGACTAGTAATTTCTTAAAGTTTCTAATTAAAGAATCCTAAACTAAAAGCTTCTGAGAAACAATGTTTAGGTTAATCAGCAAACACTTGGCATTTATTAAGGTTTTCTATTGCTATAAAAATTATCCTTTTTTTGAAAAAGTCAATATTTTAAATATCAAAATTTTCCAACTTTCAAATTAAAATTCAAACACAAGTTTTACCAAGACTAATTATTGCTTATTTAAGTGACACTGACCATGCTTCAGGCTGCAAAAAAGCTAAGGTTTCCTTCAGAAAGATATTTTTATTTTCAAAGAAAATATACCCCCTTTCCCGCCCCGCCCTGGACACACACCTCAAATGAACTGCCAGAGGAAAATGTAAGGGGTATCATTAATGTCGTCCTTTGTCCAATTTTTGATATTATTAGTGGAATTTTTCCTTCCCTTTCTTGGATTGAATCTCTTAATCTCTGGCCCTGTACAACTCTGAGGTATTTCTGACAACTTTAAAATATTTATAAACCAAATCCAAACTGCTGTAGGCCATGGTTGCCTCAGACCTCTTATCCTGTATCTGTGCAGGGCAAGAATAGCTTAGTCAGTGAATTCAGTTCCATAAGAATCAAAATCATCTGTTCCAGATTAAATAAATCAATGCTTTTGAGACTGAATTAACTGGCTTATATTATGAATTTATAATTTCCAGATTCATAATTCATTCACTATTTTACTCTGCGGGCACAATAAAATCCTAAAGGACTATTTACAAATTCTTGCAATGTTTCACAAAGAGGTAAACTTTAGCGCATTTGACATTTATGTTAGAAGTCTGAACTCTCTTTTGAGCAGCTCATTTGGACTTTAACCAATTCAAAAAAATGCAAATAAATATATAGAGAGATTCAACAAAAACTCAATCAATCAGGTGAAATAGGTAGTTGACTATCTCTGATGTAAAATTTGTTTGGTCTATACATGTTTTTAAATTAAAACTAGATACCAGTATTTAAAATTATAAGATTTTACATTAAAAAAAACAGAATTTTCTTTTTTTCTTGGAAAATCAGAGCTGACATTCCCACTAGGCAACAAACCCCTGGAGCCAGGTAGAGAATCCCCCTCTAAGCGAGTCCTGAGTCCTCCCTTTGCCAGGAGTCCTTACCAGGACGCTTCTCTCTTTTATGCTATTCCCGCACGTATCTGAATTTGTGACCTGGTGGCATCTGAGTTGGATTTGTGAAATCTGGGGGAGCACTACATTTTGAGACTGTTTTAAATCCACTGACCATGTCTGATTTATATATTTTTTATTCGATATAGGTATGTTTATAAATCTACTGTTCAAGTAATTCAGAATAAAAGGTAACCCACACAAAGAGTAAGCTGCCCTAGGTATCCAGGCTGCTTCTATGTATACGTTTTGACAATTCTGCTTATACCAGGTATTATCATGCTATCCGTTTAATAAAAAACATCAACAAAGCATCTCTAATAGAAAAGTCAAATAAAACATCATACAAATATTTACAGATTATTTCATTATAGCATACATAAAAATACACACTATGCACACACACACACACCCTTATGTACACTAGGTATACCATCAACTGTTTAAAATATCCTTTTCAGCAATAACTTTGAAGAGAGAACCCTGAGTCTTTTCTCTTTTCTCCTTGCTTCAACTTTAAAATACTTTAATTTTCTAGAACATATCTGTGGTTTCACCAGAGATCACAGTCCTCATAGTTTTCCTCCTAGCTTTCAGGATTTGTACCTAATACTCTGCCTCTCTAATTGGTAAGAGTGCAGGAAAAGCAAAAAAAAAAAAAAAAAAAAAAGATCTGGGACACTCCTGAGAACCGCCTCATTCTCTCCTCCATGTGGCCCCCACACAAAACAAGATTGATTACTTGAGTTCACATGAACCCTTTGGCAAAAACCTTGTGATCTAGTCCAGTCACAAGAAGACAATTGTTCTGTTTAACTGTAATAGAGAAACTATTTACTCCACAACTCTCACCTACGATAATTTATACTTTTAGTTGTAATTTACCTAAAGCAGCATTTCTCTCCTGCTTGAGTCCTTAGCAAGCATTGTCCATGAGGGTAAGCAAGTACACTTAAAATTAGATAACACCCCCCCCTTTATTTATTTATTTTTTTTGATACGGAGTTTTGCCCTCCTCGCCCAGGGTGGAGTGCAATGGTGCGACCTCGGCTCACTGCAACCTCCGCCTCCTGGGTTCAAGCGATTCTCCTGACTGGGCCTCCCAAGTAGCTGGGATTACAGGCATGCACCACCACACCTGGCTAATTTTTTTTTTTTTTTTTTCTTTGAGACGCAGTCTCGCTCTGTCGTCTGGCCTGGAGTGCGGTGGCGCGATATCGGCTCACTGCAAGCTCCGCCTCCCGGGTTCACGCCATTCTCCTGACTCCTGAGTCCTCCCTTTGCTCGGAGTCCTTACCAGGACGCTTCTCTCCTTTATGCTACTCCTGCAGGTATCTGAATTTGTGACCTGTTGCATTTGAGTTGGATTTGTGAAATCTGGGGGAGTGCTAAATTTTAAGACTGTTTTAAATCCACTGGCCATGTCTGATTTATATATTTTTATTCGAAATAAGTATGTTTATGAATCTCCTGAGTTGCAGCTGGGACTACAGGCGCCCACCACCACACCCGGCTAATTTTTTTGTATTTTTAATAGAGATGGGATTTCACCATATTGGCCAGGCTGGTCTCGAACTCCTGACCTCAGGTGATCCACTCAACCTTGGCCTCCCAAAGTGCTGGGATTACAGGCGAGAGCCACCATACCCGGCTATCACCACTCTTTAATAAGACCATTCAGTTGATTATTTTTTCTAAAATAAGGCTCTATCTTCACAAAAGGAAAATATTTTAAATCAACTCAAGGAGGCTTAACTGCTTCTTGAACATTTCGTTTTTATTACACATAAAGATGGGAATTTAGCGCACAGACAACTAGTCCTTCTCTACCCCAAATCAGGAAAATAGGTAAAAAATATTTCTTCCTTTTTTTCCTCTTCCCTTAGTTTGGTATGCACTGACCTGACGTTACATTTGTAGAGATGCTCACGACGTTCAGCTCTTCTGGCAATACTCCTTGCTCTTGATTTTGTTTTCCCTTCTATCTCAAAATTCTTTTTACTGCTTTCTCTTCTTTAAAGTTTCTGGTTGACGTCTGGTTCATTAAAACTATCTTGATAAATTCATCTGAGCAACAGTTTAATAGATAATAAAAGTGCCAGTGGTAGAGACAATTAGGTTCAAATGAACCTTCTCTCAAAACACCCCTCAAATCACACTATAGAAGCAAGTATCTGCCAAGCCAGTAATGGTTCCAGTGGCACCTAATTTAAGCCTTAAAACCAAAACAAAGAAGTACTGTTAGAGTAAATTCATTTGAAAAAAATAACATTTAAAAACACACTACCAATCTAATTTTAGTGAGGGTATGAGGCTATTTTATGGCTTGATTTAACCTATGGTTTAATAGTCATATAGGTAACATTGTTGCAGCCTAGGGTCTCAATTCCAAAGGTAATTTCTGAACTTAAATATTTCAGAGCACAGAATAGTGTTTGGATAAGAATATTTGCAGAATAGTAAACAGCTAGTGTCTTAAGGTTAATGGTCTACTACAATGTATCTGTAGTGTCTGTAAAATTTGTTTTGTATTATGATCTCCCCATCTTCATTGCAATAACTCACAGCCTTCCAGGTTTTTTTTTTCTTTCTCAAAGATTTAATTAGTTGGTTCAAAGGACCCATTTTCAAACATCCTTTATATTATACTTGGTGATTCTGACTTCTACATCTGGATTCAATGTCTTAAAAGATCTCCATTTCCATTTCTATAAATTTCAAACCTAGTCATCACCTGGAATATTTCTGCACCTTTTTTATGAACAAAAATTCTCCTCTCAAATCTTTCTCCTATACCTATGAGTTGCTTCCTCTCTTCCACTACATTTCATTTCCTCTCTACCATTTAAGCTTCTTTTCCTCTCATTGCATCTAGCATATTAGACCTTCCAGTTTTTATTTTGCTCTGTGTCAATCTCAATTCCACAATCAGCCACATTAAATGTGTCCTATCCCCTTAACTATCCACTTTAAGAGCTCTCTTCACCCTATTTAGGGATAAACCCAACATCCATTTACTTTATTCCCATTCCCATATAGTCAGGCATATGAACTTTAAATTCTTTTTTTTCTTTCTTTTTTTTTTGAGTGCAGTATTAACTCATATGATCACATTCAATCTTGATCACTGCAATGAGATAAATGATACCTCACATAAATTCCGTTGTATGTTCTACCTTTCACCCCCAAATTTATTCAGGCTCTACTCTTTCTTTCAGTCCTTGAATCAGAGGAAGATTTCTCTCTTCCTGCCACATACCAACTCTGATCCAAAAACCAATAATAATAATAATGCCTAATATTTACTGAGAATTTATGCCAACCACTGTGCTAAATACTTTACATGGATTATCTCACAGATCCTTATTTTAAACCTATGATATAAGTACAACTATTATTTTTTACAGATAGAGAAATTAAAGCTTGGATAATTTAAATAAATAACTCATAGTTATACAACCCTGGTAGAGCCAGATTCTGAACACCAGCCTGCCTGATTCTTTAGAATTTGATGATACTAAGAACTTGTCATATTTTTTCCATCTTCTCCATGATATTTTACTTTCCTGTTTTGTTTCATAAGTCTCTGAGCAGCTTTTCACATATCATTTGTTATCTACTCTTTTTATGTCCATAAGTTAAATATAGATTGGCCATTCTATTTTTTGCTACAAAATTTCCATCTAGACAATCTTTTTCTCTCCCATGGTATCATATGCCACTCCTGTCTGATTACAAAATATAGTACAAGTCCAGTATAGTAAATCTGCCTTGAGAACAACATCTAGTTGGACATGCCCAGGATGTCCCACTAAATCAAAAAACTAAACAGAGCTCACTCACCTCAGCTCATAAGAGTTTAATATGGCAGTGAACTAGTGAGTTCCCCTTTGGTTTCTCATACCTGTCTCAAAAAGTCTAAAGTCTATATGTGTGTGTATATATGTATGTGTGTGTATAGAAATATATATATATGTGTGTGTGTGTGTGTGTTTGTGTGTGTGAAGTCACAAATTTGCAAACAACTCAGACCTGCAAAGATCTATCTGGTCTTCCCTGTAAGCCCTCACCCATTAGGAAGTGGTAAGAAAGTACTCAAACACTTCCTAACATTTAGCCCAATACAGTAAGCTAACTAATTCTTTTAGATAATGCTAAGTCTTTGGGGTTATTTGCTCATTTTTTCACATTTCACTCTCTCTTTTTTGATTTATCTCTAAGACAGTGTTCCAGAACTGACATTCAGCTGATATTCTATTAACTCTTGTGAAACAGGTGTCTGTTTCAATTATTCAGTACCTTTAATATATTGGTTCTTAAATATTTTTAGTATTACCTTTAGTGTTTGGTATATGGTAGAAAGAGGAAGGGCTCACACAAACTCCTAGTGGTAGAATGAATGAAGTAATGCTTGTATCCTCACAGTCATTTTAAATTTTCCTCTGATTCATTTGATCACTGAGTGACTTGCTCATTTCCAAAATGGAAGTTAAAAATTGGTCTCTCCAAACCTGGGCAGATTCTAATAGTTCACCCTGAGTGCTCAAAATTAGCTCTTCCTGAAGTTGTCTGTCACATCTTCTTTCTGGCAGTAGGACTACTTCAACTCTTCCCTATGGTAGGTCCACTAAAAAGATGTTTATGAAATCATCACACAAAATAAAATATTTTAAAAAATTCAAGTATGTCAGTATTCACTTTAGTTCACAAAAGGCTGTTACCCAAGTACCATCCTCCAGGAACTGTGGGATTCCATTCTTCCTACAGGGGACATTAAGATTGCCTGGAAACTGAAGATTACCTGAGGATCATCCTAAGAAATTACCTCTCTCCGAAGCCCTAAAGAGAAATTTTCCAAGCCCTAATGGAAGACCATATTCCCTTGAAATTTCCTATGCCTGTGTAACAGACTTCCTTTTTTCCAAGTGGAAGCCCAAATGTTTCATAGAACACACATCTGTCAGCTATCCTGTCCTTCTCTATTTCCCATTTTCTTCCTACAACTTTTTAGGATGAAATACATAGGGCTTTATTTACCTTACATTATGGGCTGCCTCTTATTAGGAATTCCTAATGTTTTATTTTGTGTAATATATATTCTTTTTTGACATCTTCTTATATTTTGATTGACTAAATTTTCATTTATTTTTAAAATTATATTTATTTCTAAATAAAGTTGTATATTTTTAGAAAAATAAACCAATGGGTTAAAGCTTTCTCTTTTCATGTTATTATCCTTAAGTTTAATAAACTTAATTTAATTGGTTTATAGAGTTTCCTGCTATCAACATAAAATATGCATTCTTTTAAAACACACAAAACTTTAAAAGGTAACCATTTGGCCTCAACACAATCCCAATTCCAAAAAGTATAAACCATGCAGATTATAACATTAGTAACAATGCAATAATAATGGTAATTAATAATAAAAATTGCTAAAAATTCATCTGGCATGCACTTAGAAGTAACTCATGTTAAAGAAACCCACAAAAAATTACAGATAATAATGGAGTTCCATCATAGCAAATTTAGCTTTTACATATTCAGCTATGCTTACTTATAAGAGAGAAAAAGAGGGAGAGTGAGATATAAATAAATAGAGAAATAGTGTGGGTAATTCTGCCTGCTGTTCCACTCAAAGAGAAGGTGCATGTGAAAAGGGAGAGTTGTTCTGCTCTGTTAGCTTTGCTGTTCTTCGTGATGCAAATATTACACCACAGTGAAAATGATATGTGTTTTTAAAGATACGTCATGATGCCTTCCACTTTTGGTAATGACAGAGTAGGAGATAATTTGGACCTAACCACTAAGTGAAGCCAACAGAGGAGGACTTACTGTGAACCTACTTGAGCTTAGATTACAGGGCTCTTCACTTGCACAGTTCCTCCCAAGGCCTCATATCTAATTTTGCATTCTGTTTCTTAAAGAGGGACCTACAAGTTGGGTCAGCTTTGGGCTCCACAAAATAGGACAGCCACTAAAAACAATTAAAAATTTCAAAATGATGGTGAAGAATAACCATGTCAAGAGCTAGGAAAATATAGAAATCCAGGTAAGTGGCTGGGCCTGGTAGTGGTAGTTCATGCCTGTAATCCCAGCACTTTGGGAGGCCAAAGTGAGGATCACTTAAGCCCAGGAGTTTCAGACAAGCCTGGGCAACATAGTGACACCTCATCTCTACAAATTTGAAAAATGAGCTGGGCATGGTGGCAGGCACCTGTCGTCCCAACTACATGAGAGGTTGAGGCAGGAGGATAATTTGAGCCCAGGAGGACAAGGCTGCAGTGAGCTGTGTTCATCACACCACTGCACTCCAGCCTGGGTGACAGGGTGAGACTGAGAAAGAAAGGAAAAGGAAGGAAGTAAAGAAGGAAGGAAGGAATGGAAAGAAATAAGGGAGGGAGGGAGGGAAGAAGGAAGGAAGGAAGGAGAAAGAAGCAAGGAGGAAAGGAAGGAAGGAAGAAGAAAGAAAGAAGAAAGAGAAAGAAAGAAAAGAAAGAAAGAGAAAATAAAGAAAGAAAGAAGAGAGAAAGAGAAAGAAAGTAAGAAAGAAAGAAGAAGGAAGGAAGAAGGGAAGGAAGAGAGAGAAAGACCAAATGAAGAAATGGGAGAAATCCAGGTAAGCCTGGTCTTCAGGACTATTTCTGTGCAGGAGATGTGCACAGATTTAGAAGGAACATTGAGAACCTAAGGAACACCTCTGACAAATTCTTTGATATAGAGCAACAAAACTGGAGTCCAAGCCTTGGCAAGGGAAGATGTCTATGGTAAACAACTCCTGAGGGTCACACACTCAGAGTAAAAATGAACAGAAAGTAATGCACCCTTTGCAAGCACTTGAGTCAACCTCAGAGACATCTGGGGACACAGAAAACCTTACATCTTGAAATTAACTTAAGATCACTTGTTTTGCACATGCCCCAAAATACCTGGAAAAAACAAAAGAAAATTTCCTCCAAAGGAAATAAACTTTAACTTCAAATTATTTCTACAAATGACTTTTTAAAATAAAACATCCAGCACGCAACTAAATATGAGAAAAAAGGACAATATAGGAAAACAATCTACACGATAAAAAGTGCGATAGATCCACAAGCACTCTAGTCAATGGAATTACTAGCAACAGACTGTAAAATAATGATGACTTACTATGCTCTTAGAATTAAAAGTATAATATCCAAATATCAGCTAAGAACTAGAAATTATGAAAAGTGACATAATCTCTTTGAAAAAACTAGAAATTCTGTGGCTAAAATGCACACAAAAAAGGTAAGAATACTCTGGATAGTATAATGGCAAATAAGACATAAGGAGAGAATTAATGAATGAGAGATTAAAACAAGCTGCCTGTTTTTGGTAAGCAGATGGCTTTCTGGTGATTACAAACCTCACTGGGGGCAAAAGGATCTCCAAGTTTATTATTATCGCAATTTTATGGAGAAATTAATTGACTCTTGCTCTCTCACTCCTAATCCTAATTTGGGTTTGGGGAAGAACCCTGACAGGGCCATATAATATCAAGCATTCACCCTTTGTCTAATCAACTATGCCTAGGAGAGTGATGCATCTTGAAATGTCCCCAAAACATATAGGTTGAACTTGTATACAACAATTGGAAATGCAGAACTTGGAAATTCAGAAATGCATATAATTTTTTTATGAATAAAACTTTGCCTTACATTTTATTGAAAATTATAAATAGAAATCTTTAGAATATATTACACTATCTTTATTAACATTCCCTAGAATGTCACTCTTCTTTTGAAATACTGAATATGCTCATTTTTGGTGAGTTTCCTGTTTTCCTACTTAAAGTGGGATCTCCAGGTCACTTATTGAAGGGATATTCATTTTGCTTCATCTTTCTGTAGCATTTAATAACCTTGACTGCTTTCTTTCATTAGAAACTCTTACATTGGCTTATTTAACACGGTGCTTCCCTTGTTTTCTCCAATATTTCTGACCATTCTCCTGTATTTTTACTGTGTTGCCTCTTCCTCTCCAGTGTAAGTATTGGGATTTTTAAAAAAGCATTACTCTAGTTTCTTTCCTCTTATACTCACTCCCCAGGCAATTTCTTCCATGTTGAGAGCCTCCAAAGCTACCTATATTTAATATCTAGTCAGAATCACTCATTTTGTAAATCTTTGAACCCTCCAACTCAATATATGTAAGATATAAACAACAGGGGAAACTGAATGCAGGGCATATGGGAAGTCTTTGAATGATCTTCATAATTTTTCCATAAATCTAAAACTTTTCTTAAAAATAAACTTTATTTCAAAAAGACTTAACAACCAAGTTAAAACATTCAATAAATGAATGCAAAAACTGTGGTAAAGGAATGAGTAAAACATTCAGTGCTGGAAAATGGACAATCAAAATGTACAAAATTGTGAAGAAAAGGAAATCTAACCCAAGGATTTTATGCTCAGCTAAATTGGCCTCTGATTTAAAGGCAGAGATGAACTCTTGGCTCTTCTGGAGAAGAAAGATGATGCAGCAATATCCAGCTTAAAAAATAAATAAAAATTTTAAAATTTCAGAGAAAAAGTCTATGTTAGTTATCTATTGCCAGATAGGAAATCTCCCCAAAACTTTCAACTTAAAAGAACAAACATTTATTTCGTCACAACTTCTAAGGGTAAAGAATTTGATGGTGGCTTAGCTGGGTGGTTCTGACTCAGAGTCTCTCATGAGTCAAGATGTAGGCTACAGCTGCAGTCATAGGAAGACTTGATTGAGGCTGGAGAATCTGCTAGAGGATCATTCACAAAGCTGTTGGCAAAGTACTCAGTTTCCTTGCTGTTATTTGCAAGAGGCCTCCAAAATCCTTCACCAAGTAAATATCTCCTTAGGGCTGCGTGATTGCCCTAATTACACAGCATCTGGCTTCCCCCAGAATGAGTAGTGAGAGAGAAGCCACAATGTCATTCATGTCCTAATCACAGTTGTCACTTTTTTCCACTCTCAAAAAGCAGTAGGGACGTAAGTTTTGAAGGAAGACATATTTAAAAATTTGTGGATATATTTTAAAACTTCCAGTGGAAAGAAGTACCAAGGTATTATTTAATTATATTTACTATTAGAAAATTAAATGGTATTATCTACAAATATTTATTGCAGTCAAGATTTTATTTTAATTTCTAACGGATTTATAGTATTTTTCCCCTTCAATATCATTGGTATGTTTTAGAAAGTAACATATCTTGTGGTAAAAGAAAGATTTTTATGAAGTCAGCCATTATATAAGCCTCAATTCATTTTCTCTTTTTAGCCAGCATTAAGAACACACCATGATATCTTACAATATCTTATGCATTCAACACTTTCTTTGAATAACTGAGATATGCTGGTCCTCTCTTCTCCAAGAATATGACATGGAAGTTTTTCAGCAAGAGTATACCAAGTCTCCACCAATCTAGGATAAATCTTATGCTGTAATGAGTCATAATCCTGTTACCCATGATTCGGCATGCTTCAGCTGTGTTTCTTCTTTTGTTTTGTTTGTTTGGTTTTCTTGAGACAGGCTCTCACTCTATCACCCAGGCTGGAGTGCAGTGGCGTAATCTTGGCTCACTGCAACCTCCGTCTACCTGGTTCAAGTGGTTCTCCCGCCTTAGTCTCCCAAGTAGCTGGGACTACAGACACACACCACCATGCCTGGCTAACTTTTGTATTTTTAGTAGAGACTGGATTTCACCATGTTGGCCAGGTTGTTCTCAAACTCCTGATCTCAAGTGATCTGCCTACCTCAGCCTCCCAAAGTGCTGGGATTACAGGCGTGAGCCACTGCACCCGGCCCAGCTGTGTTTCTTGACACTTTCTACCACCATCACACATAGCATCTTCTAGATGCATTCCTCAAAAATTTTAGAATGAGAAGGTCCAGATAACTATGTCTGTTACTCTTACTCATTCTTCAAAAATGAAAGAATGAATGCTAGGATAATATGTACTTGATTCTTATGTTCTACTCCTACACTGTTAACACAAACATCTGATACTTTAGGATGTTGCTCTGTTGATTCTGTCTTCTCCTTGTTTCAATATCAAAATCCCCTTGATGTTGGGTCATTCCCATCCGAATAAAAATGTTATTATTTCTAACTCTTTTTATCTCAATTCTCTCCATTATTGCTCTATTTCTCTACTTCCTTTTACAAAAACAACAACAACAACAAAAATTTCTCCAAAGAGATGTCCATTACTTGCCGCCATCAAGTTCTTTCCTCTCATTCTCCTTTGAATCTACCACAATTACAGTTGTGTTCCCATCACTCTGTCAAAAGCAAGGTCACTAATGATGTAAACCTTACTAAATCTAATAAGTGATTCTTACCCCTCATCCTATTGGAGGCATCAATAGCATTTGACTTCTATTGCACGACATGTTATTGTCCTGGGTTTCTCCTTCCTCACTGGCTGCTCCTTCTTGGTCTCTTTCACTTCTGGTCCTCATCCCCCTGACCATTAAACATTGGAATGCAGCAGGTTTTAGTCCTGAACCTCTTCTCTATGCACATCAATCCATGGAAGAACTCTTCTGTTCCTTAGCTTTATATACTACCTGCAGCTTAAAATATCTGAATTTGTATAACTTCAGTATGGAAACCTCTGAACTTCAGATCTGTATATCCAACTATCTATGTGACATCTCCATTTGGATGTTTCATAGCAATACAAGACTGAACCTCTAGTCTCCACCTCTTCCTCCTTCACCAACACACTTTCCACCCAAAAAACAAAAACAAAATCCTGCTCCAACCACGGTCTTTCCCACTTCAGGCCCAAAAATGTAGCCATGGTGTTAGACTTGGGGATTACGCATGGGCCCAACAGCACAAACTTGGACTTCTTCTCATTGAGGCTGCATATCTGACTTTGTCAAGAATGGAGTCTAAATGTTCAATATGTTATCAACCCTGCAGGAGACCAATCAGCCATTTGGTGACAAGTTGGTTTAATCTAACCACATGTTCCCTGGTGGAGGAATTATGTGTTTGGATAAACTATGGCATAACTAACACCTCAAAATTCCTTTTGGATCAGGCAGAAGCCACCCTTTGTCTAAAGGGGCCTTTGTCTAAAATCGCACCTGGTTACTCTCAACCTCTTCACTGTCTTGCTTTTGTCTCTCTTTTATTGGTTTCTCCTGGGAGGACTTCCTTTCTAAATCACTTGCACATGAATCCCTGGGTGAGGCTCTGCTTCTAAAGAATCCAACCTGAGGTACTATCATTAACACTGGCAAACACACTGCTCTTCCATTGGCCCCGTCTTCTCAGGGTACAGCTGTAGCCTTGTGCATTAAGCTCCAGCACCAGTAGTACTACAATTTTGTGTAAGAATCTGGAGTCACCGCCACCTGATGCTACAATTCATTTACATTTAGAACTGTCCCAGTGAAAGTATTTTGTTCACATTGTGTATTTGGTGTCTATAACAAGGAACCCTTGTGCCTTGGCATATTCCATTCAGATCCAGAAGTAGAGACCTGCAGAAAGCTTTATTTTCAAAGGTTACATTAATTTATTCTGACATATTTGGTGCAAGATGTCTGAGAAACTAATACATGGGGCCCTAACTATTATGCAGCCAACTTAAAACAGATTTTTAATTTTTATAGTTAAATTTTTAAAGTACAAAGCTAAATACAAGTTTTAGATACTGTTGACATCTACCAACAGTCTAAATACAGGTTGACATCTACCAACAATTTAACTATCTAAAAAGAAATGCTAGTATCGAGTGATTGCTCTGGTTTTTAAGACTGTTTTAAACAATCACCACATGTCACTCTAAGTTGTACCTTATTTGCTAAAGGAACATTCACATTTCATTCTTCCTAATTCAAACCTTGGTTTAAGAAAAAGCATAATTGGGAACTGAACTGAAATAACTTTGGATTTACTTTTTCAGCTAAACTGTTTTTTTTTCATGTTTTAATTGCTCCCTAATTTCTCTATTATTGCTGCATGTCCTAAAATAAATTTTCCATCTGCTCTTTCCATGTTTGATTGTCATGTTGGTTCTCTTTGAAACTGCTAAACAAGCAGCTTTTCTAATCACAATTTGTGGCTGCGGTGCATTTCAATGCTCAGTCTGCATATAGAAAAGCCACTTGCTGTTAAAAAAATACAAAATAGATTGAATATAACTAGATAATTTCATTTGTGAGTATAGAGTGTACTATGCAGCAGTTTTATTCCTACATTTAGTATTTTCTGGTGAAATGAACAATTTCTGGGAAAAAGTGATTAAAAGAGAATAGCAAACATCTGTGCATCTTTTCTTCAATTTTTTTCTCCAACTTTCATCAAATTCTCCAAAGTTTTTTGTTCAATTTAAAAAGGAATAGTTCCTGTTTGTGTAAAAAAATGAGTAAAATCCTGTATTTCATAATTATTAATAGAAAACTTTTTTAAAAAATAAGAAAACGTTACGTAAATATGTTTTACACTTCTGAGTAATACATTTACATTAAAGTAATTAGAATAACAATAATATCTATGAGATTTAATAGTAGAAAAGACTAAAGGATAGTTAAAAGCATAAAGATAATTTATACTGATAAAATTACAGATATATTAATAAAAAAACACACATTCCTCAATAGTAAATTTAATTTTCTATACAAGCTAATGGAAAAATTAGACCCTTTGACTCAAAGCATCCATCATTATTGATTGTTAAGCTATTATTTTCACCATTTAAAAGTTAATTATGCATATACTATCGTACTCTTAGGATAGTAAATTACTAAATTTGGGAAAGGGGGTTTGGCCACATACTGTGTAAACCTTAAAGATGTCATTATGTGTTAGTGTAGTAAGTTAACCACAAGCAAGTTATTGTAAGGAATAATTTATAACTTATCAGAGATGCATACAAAGACAGACATTAAGTGACATTCATTGCACTGTTTTCATAATAACTACACCACTACAAATAATTTAACTGTCTAATAAAAGGGGATTGGTTTTATAAATAAGGATATATCCATATGGAAAATAATTTAGCAATTAAAAATCATTTTAGAGGAATATTTGATGACCTCCTATAAATGCTTATAAATATAAAAATGAAGTCATAAAATAACATTCATATGATTATAATTTGTTAATATAGATATATAAATTAGAAATTATGGCAAAACATACAAAAATGTTAACAGTGATTTTCTCTGTGGTGTGATATTATTGGTAATTTTAATTTTCTTCTTTATATGTATATATTTTCCTAAATTTTACAATAGTAATATTGTTTTTTATAAAGGAAAACTAGAAAGATTTTTCTTTAAGCTTTTTATATTCATAGTGTTAAAACACTGTTTTATACATATATCAAAGAGATGATTGTACACTAGCTTAATTAATCAATAGTATTAGTGTGGAGAGAAAAATGTGGGCATATGGCTTTAAGTTCAAGTAAAATATGCTTGGAGGAAGTCAGGAGTTGGTAGTATTGTTTTTTTTTAGAGTAGTTTTTAACAGGAAGAGACTGAGAAACTGTTACCTTTTCACCTCTTGTTTTAAACAGAATTATGTGTGTTCAACCTGAATCTATGGGATGATATTTTGTACTCCAGACCTGTCAATCCCCCCTCGCCTTTTCAGAACACTAAACCAATAAACTGAATTATTTTTAAGAATAACGAAACAGTGAAAACGCAATCCATAAATTGACTTCTTTGTTCTGCCAATTGACTAAATGACACTTAGTCATCTCTAAGTGCCTGGAGAAAATAAAAGGCATTTCTTTTGTGAAGCTGATGAACAATTAGGCAATTGTAAAGCACTGAACACAAAGTGGTGAATGCAGTGTAATATTGTTTTATGCATCTCCCTCCCTTTCTCTTTTTATTTTTATTTTTTGAGAAAAAAAATGCTTGAGGCAGATATTTTACTCTCTCTCCTACTCTCTAGCTTTTAAAATAATGATCAGCATTTGCTATGGCTAACACAGAAGCACACAAGCCATGGTTCAAATGGAAAAGTTGTTTTCTAAGTCAACCAGCACCTTTTTTAGAGAAAAATATGCTGCCAGGCTTTTTAACTTTGTTCAAAGTTCAGAAGGTCTGATAAATGCTTCCAAATTTCAGTCCCTGCAATAGCTACAAATTTTTCGTTTTGGGGATTATAGTACACTATTGTTTGCAATATTCATTATCTTTCAAATTCCACTGAGATATTATACAGAGTTCATTCTAAAACTACAAAGGTTTTGAAAGATGTCAATTGTAAAGAATTGCCTTTGATTACTACAAAATAACATAGCTCTTTTTTTATCAAGTTAATGCTAACATAGGCTATATAGTATGGAATCAAATGAAATAATGTACCAGTTCTACTACATCACTTAATTGATAAATTCACACATGCATATATGTACACAGTATCCGTGGGAGATGGAATGCTCAAATCCCATATATTAAATGGTGTCGTATTTGCATATAACCTATGCACGTCCTCCCATCTAATCATCTCTAGATTACTTATATTACCTAACACAATGTAAATGCTATGTAAATAACTGTAATGCAAAATATCATCCCATAGATTCAGGTTGAACACACATAATTCTGTTTAAAACAAGAGGTGAAAAGGTAACAGTTTCTCAGTCTCTTCCTGTTAAAAACTACTCTAAAAATTAAACGATACTACCAACTCCTGACTTCCTCCAAGCATATTTTACTTGAACTTAAAGCCATATGCCCACATTTTTCTCTCCACACTAATACTATTGATTAATTAAGCTAGTGTTCAATCATCTCTTTGATATACGTATAAAACAGTGTTTTAATACTATGAATATAAAAAGCTTAAAGAAAAATCTTTCTAGTTTTCCTTTATAAAAAGCAATATTACTATTGCAAAATTTAGGAAAATATATACACATAAAGAAGAAAATTAAAACTACCAATAATATCACGCCACAGAGAAAATCAGTTAACATTTTTGTATGTTTTGCCATAATTTCTAATTTATATATCTATATACTAACAAATATTAGGGAAAATGACAAGAACAAAAAATATGAACATGTTCAGTTCAGACACAACCATTCTTTTTGTCCCCCAAATATTTTTTATTGCAGTTGGTTAAATTCATGGATGAGGAACCCACAGAAACAGAGGACTGACTATACATTCATACTTATTTGTGTTTGATGACACTTGTTAGAGGTAAACAACTCTGTAAAGCAACATGATAGATGGAAATCTTCAATGTTACAAACACAGAAGTGCTGGATGAAATACAATAAACAAATTTACCCACTGCAGGTTTTTTTTGTTTGTTTTTTTGTTTTTTTGTTTTTGCCACTAGTGGACCAAACTCAATGGGTGGCAGTAAGTATTAGGCAGCCCACAGACTATGTATGGGATACTGAATATAGGTTAAAGAGAATAGAGCTGGGGTTATAACATCAACATGGACACAGAAGATATGGCCTTAAGGCTAAATCACTATGGAAAAAAGAGAATATTGTAAATTTCAGACCAGTAGAAAGCATCAAATAGAATAAAGAAAATTCTAACAATCTAATAATAGCCCGAAAAGAGGACAAAAAGAAGCAAATGTGAAATATAGTAAATTAAACATTCAATATAATAGAAAAAGCTCAGATAACTAGTAGCCATGATAAATATAAATTTAACTGATAAAAGGTAAATCTCAAAAATAAGTTCAAGTGAGTTTTTCAATTTTGGTTTTTGTGTCTTCTGTTATTCTAATATAAGAGAAGACACAAAAACCAAAAATGGAAAGAAAGAAATCATCATCAGACCAATTCAAGTATTTTTCCCAGAATTGAAGGAGAAAAGTTTTCAAAGGAAAAGAGCCCATAATAATGGAGCAAATTATTATATACACTCATGCCAAAGTGTATGGCCATGAGATATTGTACTGCTGGTGGAAAAGAGAAGATCATAAAAGCTCTCAGAGTGTGGAAGTAGAAAGATTTCATATGAAGGATCTAGAAGGCCCATCTCTCAATAGTGACACTGGAAGACAAAAGAAAATGGAGGTTCTGTCTTTGGAATGGGAGAATATATTTGCAAATCACTTATCTTATAAGGGTTTAATGTCCAAAATATACGAAGAACACTTACAACTTAACAACCGAAGAAATAATAACACAATTTTAAAATGGGCAAAGGGCTTGAATAGACATTTCTCCAAAGATTATATACAAATCGTCAAGAAGCACATGAAAAGATGTTCAACCTTATTAGTCATAAGGAAAATGAAATCAAAACTATAATGAGATGTCACCTCTTACCTATTACGATGTCAACAATCAAAACAACAGGAAAAAACAAATCTTGCCGAAAATGTGGAGAGATTAGACTACCTTGAGCACTGGTTTTGGGACCGTAAAATGGTACAGCACTATGAAAAGCGGTATGGAAATTCTTCAAAAAACTAAAAATAGAATTACCATATGATCTAGCAATTCCACTTCTTGGCATATATATCCAAAGAATTGAAAGCAAGATCTCCAAGAGATTTTTGCACACCCAAGATTATAGCACATTATTCCACAGATGAATGGATAAACAAAATGTATATATATATATATATATATGAATATTATTCAGCCTTCAGAAAAGAATAAAATCTTGTCACATGCTGTATTAGTCTGTTTTCATGCTGCTGAAAAAGACATACCCGCACTGGGCAATTTACAAAAGAAAGAGGTTTAATGGACTTACAGTTCCACATGGCTGAGGAGGCCTCACAACCATGGCAGAAGGCAAGGAGGAGCGAGTCACGTGTTATGTGGATGGCAGCAGATAAAGAGAGAGCTTGTGCAGGGAGACTCCCATTTTTAAAACCATCAGATCTCTTGAGACTTATTCACAATCACGAGAACTGCACGGGAAAGACCCACTCCCATGATTCAATTATCTCCCACAGGGTCCATCCCACAATATTTGGGAATTATGGGAGCCAGAAGATGAGATTTGGGTGCAGACACAGAGCCAAACCATATCATATGTTACAACATGGATGAACCTTGCATAAATTACATTAAATGAAATAAACACATAACAAAAAGATAAATACTGTGTGACTCCACTTACATGAGACATCTCATGTAGTCAAGCTCATGGAAACAAAAGAGTAAAATGAGGATTGCCAGGGGGTGTGGGAAGGGAGATTTAGGGAGTTTTTGTCGAATGGGTGTAGAGCTTCAGTTTTCCAAGTTGAAAAAGTTCTGGAGATCTGTGGTAGGACAATGTGAATATTCTTAACACTATTGAAGTGTACACTTAAAAATGGTTAAGATGGTAAATTTTATGTTTTTTATCACAATTTTAAAAATTATAATTTTTTTAAATGAAAGTTCTTTTCTTGTCAAGATAGAATAAATATACTTCAACTTGTCTCTCAAAATGAATGCAACTAAAATCCCAGAAGAGAATATATGGGACAGTTGAGAACTAAGAAGTAAATGATAGTACCACTAAACAAGCAGTAAGTTAACAGATTTTTTTCATTTTTTATTACCTGGCCTGAATGCAAATGCAGTCCGGAACCCAATACTGCATACAAGGTACAGACAGAAAGTGTTTCAAAAGAAGCTCTCTATTTTTGTTATGAGGGATCTCTTTTCGTCAAAGATAATGAGGAACTTTCTGTGTTGTTCAATTTTTTTTTTTCTCTCTCTTGTCTTACCACCCTACTCCGCAGGAGATCACACAGTGGCAGTAGCAGAAACAGAAAAGATAACTTGAAAGATATTTACAATTTCATCAAAGAGAAAACCTCTCTGATCAGAGGACCTGTAGTCACAAGAGCACAGGAGAATCCACTTGCTTTTCCTTTTTATCTCTTTCTATTCTTTTTACCATTTTGCCCTGTAGGTATACAGGGTAATGGAAAGTACATGGCAGAGCCAGAGAAGCAAGAACACCAGCTTTTAGCCAGAGAACCAGAAGGAGAGGGCTTCTGGGAACTATAAGGTGTTAGAGAGAGATGGAGGGAACTTTAAAAAGCAATTCTATAAAGTTGCATATGAATGCCATGACTCACTCCTGGGCCCCATGTGCATGAATATGACCCTGAAGAGCACAGTAAAAGCTTTCAGAACTTAACTGTAGTCTTGACTACAGCCCAGGTCCCAGACTGTCCACTAAGTGGTGTGCATGTGGGAATACCACTGCAAAGGCTTTAAAAATTGAACACAACATACAAAGATAGATATGGACTTGTCTGCACCCAACTGGATCAATTGCCTGCTAAAACAAACAATCAAATATCAACATTCTATATAGGATTTAAACAAGACTAAGAGTTTTAAAATATGATACTTTAAAAGCACGGGAAACAATTCAAAATCACTTGGTGTAGGAAGCACCAGACACATTTCAACATCTCATAAGAAAAATGGCACAAGAGTAACTACACCAAAATGATACAGATATTGGAACTATCAAACACTTTAAAATAGTGAGTATAACCATGTTCTAGGAAGTAAGAGCAAACATCCTTGAAATATATGGGAAAATAAGAAGTCTTAACATGAAAATAGTCAATATAAATTACGAAAATTTTAGAATGAAAAATAAAACAATGAAAATAAAAAATTTTCAGTTGAGGTCAATAGCATAATGGAAATAAAAGGGGAAAGATTAATAAACTTGAAGATAGATTGATAGAAATTATCCAATCTGAATGACAGAGAAAAAGATTGAAAAAATAGAGACCTGGGGACCTGTAACACAATAATAAAAGGTCTAAATTTATTTATATTTCCAGACATAGAAAAGAATGTATGCAGAACAAAATGTTTAAAAATATAATCGCTGAAAGCTTCCCAAATCTGGTGAAAAATGTAAACTTAGAATTTCAGAATGCTCAGCACACATAAAAATGATACAGCCAAAGAAATCTCTTCCAAAATACATATTATAATCAAACTTCTGAAAGCTAAGGACAAAGAAAGAATCTTGAAAGCAGCCATAGAAAAATAATACATTACTAAATTTAACTCCAGATTTCTCATCCTAATCCATGTAAGGCGGAAACAGCAACATTTTAAAGTGATGGAAAAAAAGAACTATAAACCTGGAATTCTATATCCAATGAAAATATCATTCAAGAATAATGGTGAAATAAAGACATTCTTGGATAAAGGAAAGTGAAGATAATTTGTTACAAACTGACATGATGGAAAAGAATGAATTGCTAAAGAAAGTGAAGCCACCTTTGCAAAGAGTGTATCAGTGAGAAAAATCTAACATGGCTGACTCCATCTTGCTTCTAGCTTTACAGGCTGCTTGTCTTTGCTCATTCCTGGGTGTAGGCCAATCCAACAATGGGAGGAATTTAGTTTATGCTTAACTTAGAAACAAAGATAATAATAGACCTTCCCTAAAACTAAGTCCCTTTTTGCTTAGGGACCAAAAATGAATGAAAAGCCACAAGATTAGAATTATGAGAGGGTCCTGAATTCTGCTAAAACGTAGGCATAGTTTTTATAATCTCTTACTGCTCAGAAATCCTGTGGCTTGCGTTCACAAGATTTGTGACTTCTCCAATTGCTCCTATAGATAGCATCACTATTGTAGAAGCTAAGATTGATCTATTGAGAAGTTTTTCCAATTTTTGCATTCTGGGAACTGACTGACCTGTCCAAGACCCATGACTCATGACTCAATCGGTCCTGTGTCCCCCCACCCAGAGATGGACTCAGCACACAAGGACCATTTTCCATACTCCATGACTTCATCCCCAATCAATTAGCAGCATCCATTCCATAGCTCTCACCCACAAAATTATCCATAAAAACCCTAGCCTCTGAGTTCTTGGGGAGACTGATGTGAGAGATAGTGATATTGGAGGGATCAGGGAAGTGCTGGGTAGAGAAGGGCATGGTCCCTGGCGAGGGCTCCACCCCTGGGCCTATGCCCCTGGACCTAGGTGAGGATAGGCACTCCCGTTTACCCACCAAAAGAGGTAAATTTAAAGCAGAGGGAGACTTTTGGATGGCTGATGGAGGCCCTCGTTAAGTAGTAAGAATGAAACTGGAGAGAACAAAACAATATAACTTGAAGATGAGAATGAATAAGAGAGAGGAGTAAAGAGTAAAACTAAAGTCACTGCTGGGGAAAAAAGTAATCAATGTTATACTTCTTCATTCAAGGCTTTCTAGTAGTTAACTGTAATTATTTCAGTGAAGTTTGGAAACCAATCTTAGCTCTATAAGTGAAAAAGTGGATTTTTTTCAAAAAGAGAGTTTTGTTTCTCCTGGGAACTGAAAATTGGAGTAGGCTTTCATAAAGAGAAGGGAAGCAAATAAGGATAGTACAGTACTACTGGGGAGAGAAAAAGTGTAGAGGGTGAGAGGAAATGGGAACAAGTCTAAAATAATGTACTCCAGAGATGGAAAACCCAAGATGGCTAGTTGCAAACTAAATACAAATTGACCTGAAAATGTTGTTAAGTATTCAGTAGGTGCCAAGCTGGGGCAATGCAATTGACACAGGAAGTCCTTGTGCTGTGTAACTGCAGAAGTAGCTGTAGGCATCACATTAGGCTGCTAGGTTTCCACATTTTGAAGGTGATCATACTTCACTCAAGCATTTTTTTAGTAGAAGTCAAAGAGGAATTTGCCGGAATAGCAGGACTGACCCCACTGTCCCCACCCCCACCCACTTCACCCTCCCTCCCTGTTACAAGCATCGTACAATGGGCAAGTATTGGCAGAATCAGTGTTTTAGCACTGACCTTTTGCAGGAAGAAAGTATCATGAGGTATTACCAGTTGCCAAGGAGGACTCTGAGTTTCCAGCTTTCTCTGTGTAACACTGTTGTAAAAGGAATTAGGCTATGAATGTCAACCTCTGAGTTTCTGGAATTATCAAAAAGGAGTTAAGGTGAAAGAATCGTGATAGGAAAGAAAGATAAGCTTGAGAAAGCCAAACAAGACTTGAAATAGTTAATTTGAATAATGTGCAGATACGAATTTATTTTGTACCACCAAAACTGAGGAAGTGGGAAAAGTCTTATTTAAATATAGGACAAGTATATTCCAGTCATAATATAAATGAAACATATTCTTTCTCCTTCAGTAACATGAAACATTAGTTAGGCTGGAAACATGATATTATATATAAACAGAAATGTGAAGCTTTTGTCTGGTAACTTCTCCAACTACCTACAGTCACTCAATACTTTAATTGCGTGTTTTGTAAGGCAGGACCAATTTTCATGTTAAAAAAAAAAAAAAGGACTGCCTGACTAAGGTCTGTCTACTTAATAATTCCTTTTGAAATCTATTTGCTTGCTGCATAGATAGGTCAGATTCACAATTGAGATGATTACATAATCAATTAAAGGAGAAAGAATATTTATCTTCTCACTTAAACAAATTAACATTTTTGGTGTACCAGGAGTTCTCATTTTCATTTATTTATAATAATTAGAAATGTTTTTAGATCTAGCATCTTTCTTTAAATTATGGATCTAATCATCAAGTTAGTTTCAAATCAGACTCAAAATAGACAACAGATATTATGAGCCTTTTAGCATTACCAAGTTTAATAAGTATTCTTTGAAATAATTTTAGTAAATATTTTTTCTGACACAAGCTAAATACTTGAAATAGGAAAAAAAAAACAAACTCAACTCTACTTTGATGATTTGGTTTCCAAATTCTGAAAAATAATTACTTCACTTTAAAAAGTAACTTTGTCTTCCATTACCATCTTAATATAAAACCATCAAAAAACATGTGGTCCATCTGCCTGAACAGGGTGCACAGGACCAATTTACAGGAGAGGCTATGTAGTGCTGATGAAAATCGGTACTTGCTCTTTCCACCGGGCATCACATTGCATCTGTTTTTGTGACAGCATTGGATTCAGAAATTAAGCACAGCAGGAAGGAAGATCTTGCATAGATTTAAAATATATTGCATGTTCTGACATTATTAAAAAAAGTGGGGAAGACTGAAAAACCCTCAACCATACTTAGAGGACACTAAACTGTATTTGTGAAGTGGGGAGATAGGACCTCCTTTTGAAGAACATTCATCCGCAAAGTTTACCAACAGCAAGTGCTGGTGTATCATTCTGACCAGAATACCTGTGATAAGATTATTTCCAGCATTTCTAACAACCAAATTTCCCAATTTTAGAAAAGTAATCTCTATTATTAAAGGCATTCTATAGTAATATAACACATTTATAAAATATAGAAAACAAAAATGTATATCTCAGCCCATTATAATAATACAAAGCAAATATCCATGTTACCATCAACCAGGTCAAGAGCACTGCCAGCACCCCAGAAACATCCTCATGCCTCCTCTAAATCATGTGTCTCTAAATATTGTACTTTAGTATTGCATATATTTGGAACTTTTTACAGATAAAAATCTTAGAGTATGTACTATTTTGTTTGAGGTTTCTTCTACCCACATTATGGTTGTGAGATTTATTCAGATGTGAGGATGAATATAATTCCTTCGTTTTCATTGCTGTATAGCAGTCTGTTGTGCATATGCACACAACTTACTTGGTCTGCTATTGATGGACATTTGGGTTGTTTCCAATTCTTGGGTGTTGTGAACAATGCTGCTATCAACATTAATGTATACCTTTCTTGTTGCATGTATTGGTGCGTTTTGTATGCCTAGAAACTGAATCTCTAGAATACAGGATAAATTCAACTTGAGAAGACAATTTTTAAAAGTTGTCAAATGTGCTTAATGTAATAGGCACTCCACCAGCAACAGTATTGATGTTGCTCTACACAATCACCAATATTTTGTCATGTCAGTTTTTTCCTATTTGCCTGACCACTTTGGTGGATATGAAGTGTGTATCATTGTCATCTTAATTTGTATTTTTCTAATTATTAATAATGCCAAGCATCTTTTCATGTGTTTCTTGGTCACTTAGATATTCTCTGCTGTGAAGTGTCTGTTCAAATGTTTTCTGTTTTTCTATTGGATTATCTGTGTTTCTCATATTGACTTGAAAACGTATTTATAGGTTCAATATACAAACCCTTTGACCATTATTTGGGATGAATGTATTCTCCTACTCCAGGGCTTACATTTTTACTTTCCTAAAAGTATCTTTTAATAGATGTCCTAAATTTTAACATAGTAAAAACTATCAGATATTTTCTTTATGATTAGCACTTTTCAACTCTCATTTAAAAAATCTGTGCCAATCCGAAGATCATGAAGACATGCTCCTATAATTTTGTCTAGAAGCTTTATTATTTAGATCTATAAATAATCTATAAATATCTATAAATAATAAATAAATAAAAGATCTATAAATCTTTCAAATTTAGATCTATAACCAATTTGGAATTAAATTGTGTCTCTGGGACCAACTGAAGTCAATCTTTCCTTCCCCCAACATGTATTTCCAATTACTCACATCATTTGTTAAAAATACCACATTTTACCTACTGCTCTGCAGTCAACTTTTCAAAAATCATGTCACTAAATATCATGAGTCTGTTTCTTAACTCTTGATTCTTTTTTATTGGTCTATTTGGATACCTTTTTGCCCATAACACATGGCATTGCTTATTAAAACTTTATAGTAGGTATTTCAAGAAAAGGCTGTATGTGCAAAGCAACCAACAAATGCAGAAGAAACCAAGAAACCTAAGTAGGCAAACAAATCAAGCTTGTCCTTATAGGACAATTTTATTGGGGAACATAACAGACAGAAGTGTGGTCTTGAGTGGCCACAGACAAGTAGATCTCCATCCCATTGACCCCCAGAACCAGGGATTATATACCATAGGGAAAAGGTATACATGCTTAATTTGATTTAAGGTCAAGATTTATGCTAAGTATAAGTTTATCAAAGTCGATTTGATCTAAGGGCAGGATTTGCAGTAAGTATGTGCTTTTACACAAGGAACAATAGAAGAACTGGAAATCTTAGAGGCATCCCCAGAACTGGGATTAATTGGAAGTCATGGGAGATTAGCTTCCAAGATAGAGTTAACATTAGCCTCCACAATAGGTCTTTATATCTGCAGAATAGGTCATCAAACTTATTTTTTCTTCAAATTGTCTAGGCTGTTCCTGGACTTTATCATTACCATATATATCTTAAAATAGCTTGTCAACTCCCACAATAAACCTAGGATTTGTTTTAGGATTGTACTGAACCTATAGATCAATCTGGAGAAAGTTGACATATTTACCTTATGAGTTTTCCATGAACTTGAATAATTCATTTGTATAGGTCTTCTTAATTTTTCTCAAAAATATTTTATGGTTTTCACTAAGGAAGTCTTACAAATTTTCACTTATTCCTAGGTAATTTTTATGCCATTGTAGTGTATTATTTATTAGAATTTCATTTTTAGTTATTGCTTATTTAAAAACATAATTTAGTTTTGTATATTGATCTTGCATCTAGAAACCTTACTAAACTCATTAAAGTATATTTATTTATGCATTCTTTCAAATTTTTACTTACTCAACCATACTAATTTGCAAATTGTGACAGCTTTACTTTTTCTTTTCCAATTCATAGAATTTTTATTTCTTTAGCCTTATTCCATTGGCTTAGACCTTTAACATGACGGTAAATTGACATACTAATGAAAAACATACTTGTCTTTGTCACAGTTTCAGGTGAACAACTTTCACTATATCTCATTGTATATAAATATGAAATATTTCTCAGTACATAAAGAGCTTACAACAAATACTTAGTGTTTGTTGTAAGTTCTTTATAAGTAAAAATTTTCTTACAGAAGTTCCCTTCCATTTCTAGCCTGTTAAAAGGGTTTATTTAATCATGAATGAATATGGAATTTTATTTTATCAAGTAAATTTCTGTATCTATTGAATTGACTATGTAATTTTTGTCTTATTTTATATTAACTTGGTTGATTTCTGACTTAAATTTATTTCAGAATGTGAAAAATTGAATCTCAAAAATAAATCAATTTTTTATGATTTATTATGCTTTTGAAATCATTGGAATCTGTTGCTAAATTTGGGGGGGACTTTGCATTTAGGTTTATGAAAGAGTTATCTATAAGATTTCTTTCTGTAAGATTATTGTCTTCTTTCATAAAATGACTTGAGAAGTTTTTTTTCTACACTATTATGCTTTATTCTATTTGGATATGATTGATGTTCTTTCTTAAATATTTTGTAGAATTTACAAGTAAAGCCATCTAGGCCTGAAATTTTTGTTATAAGAAGGTCTTAAATTACACATTAATTTCTTCCATGTATATTGGCCTATTCAAATTTATTATATTTATTCCCACCAGCAACAAATGACAGTTCCTGTTGTTCCAGTTTCTTGCCAGCACTGGTGTTGATGCTTTGGGTTTTAACCATTCTAATAGGTATGTAACAGTATCTCATTATTGCTTTAATTTGCATTTCCCTAATGACACATGTTGTGGAACATCTTTTTATATGACTATTTGCCATGTGTACATCTTTTTTAGTGAGGTGTCTCTTAAGGTCTTTGACTCATTTTTTTAAATCAGCATGTTCCTTTTCTTATCGTTGACTCTGTTTTTTTTGGGTATTTTCAATAACAGTCCTTTATCTGATGTCTTTTGTAAATATTTTCTCCCATTCTGTGGCTTGTCTTTTCATTCTCTTGACAGTGTCTTTCTCAGAGCAGAAATTTTTACTTATAATGAAGTCTAACTTATTAGTTATTTCTTTCATGAATCATACATATGGAAATGTATCTAAAAAGTCATCACCAAACCTAAGGTCATCTAGATTTTCTTCTTCTAGTAGTTCTACGGTTTCACATTTACATTTAGGTCTGCGATTCTTTTAGATTTATTTTTTATGAAGGGAGGATAGGGTTTGTGTTTAATTGTTTTTTTTTGCATATATGCAAGATGTATACTTGTTCCAGCACTATTTGTTGGGAAACAAACAAACAAACAAACAATTTTCTCTATTGTCATGCTTTTGCCCTTTTGTCAAAGATCAATTAATTATATTTATGTGGGCTGATTTCTGAGCTTTCTATTTTGTTACTTTAATCTACATTTATTCTTTCACCAATATCACACTGTCTTCTTTACTGTAACTTCACAGTAAGTCTTGAAGTCAGATAGTGTCAGTCCTCCAACTTTTTTCTTCTCCTTCAATGGTATGTTGGCTATTCTGGGTCTTTTGTCTCTGCATATAGCATATAATGCAGAGCATCTTTTCGTATGCTTAACTGCTATATATATATAGCATATATATATATATATATATAGCATATATATATATATATATATATATATATGTATCTTTGGCCAGGTGTCTATTAAGGTCTTTGGCCCATTTTTATCTTATTATATTTCTAAAGGTTGTAAGATCAGTAGTAATGCTCCTTTTTTTATATTCCATTTTTCCCATATTTTTCTTTAACATTTGTACTTTTTGTATCCTGTTTACAAAATTATTTCTACCTTAAAATTACAAAAATACCGTTTTCTTCAAAAAGTTTTAAAATTTTTGTTTTCATGCTTAGGTCTTTATCCATCTTGGGCTTATTATTATAGATATTAAAATATGATAGTTTTTTCATTAGGCTAACAAATTTTAGCCCACTAGCAATATTTATTGGACAGTCCATCTTTTTTCCACAGATTTTTAATAATTACTCTGCCATGTGCCAATTTTCTTTGTGTTTATCATGTCTGTTTCTGGGCTTTCTATTCTGCCACATTTTTCTATTTGTCTACCCTTGTATCGAAGCCACACTTTTGAAATTTACTAGGAATTATAATAAGGGGCAAATACATCCTGCTCCCTTTCCCTTTTCTTCTTCAGGTGTCCATGATTATTCTTAAAATTAACCTCTTCAAAATCTCTGGTTCAGATGTTGACTGAAATTTCATTGATTTTTAAACTAATCTGACAAATATTGCAAAATCTTCCACATTGAATGTTCTTATATGTAAACATAGCACACAGCATCTATTATTGGTATTTTATGTCTTCAAGAATACATTTTAATTTTTCTCCATAATCATGTTTCTCATCTCTTGTTTAATATTCCTAGGTGTTTATATCTTTTCTTCTGTGAATGACTTGTTTTTTTTAAATACATTCGTGATGGTGTCTAGAAATGCTATTGATTTCAAACTCACTGAATTCCTTTCATAATTTTAATAGCCTGATTTGTGAATATTCTTAGATTTTTCTTGCTATCAATATTGTCTGTGAAAAATGTTATTTTTTTCTCTTCATCATATATTCCTTTGATTTTTTCCTTCTTGCTTTATTTGATGGGAACTCCAAGATAATGTTGACTAGAAAAAATAATAGTGGGCCTCATTTTCTTATTCCTGACTTTAAAATAAATATTTCTAAAATTTCATCATTGACTATGAGTTTACTGTAGGTTTGCAAAGATCAATTTTTTTAAAGTTTTTTAAAGTTTCCTTATATTCTGAATTTGCCCACAGTTTATGTAACAATAGCAAATTCATAATTTAATCTCATGTGTCACACATACTTTGCAAAGCCTGAAAGAATACACACTGAAATGTAAGAACATTCAGGTTGTGCCATTATGGCAGAAATTTCTCTTTCTCTAAATTATTTAATGTTATTTTGTTTATTTATTTGTTTTGATAGCTATGAATATATCAATAGAGTTATTTCTTAAGTAAAATGAAATAAACAGTAGACTGGGGAAATAGTTGCATTATTAGCCAAATTCTTCTCTTGTACCTAATTCAACACTTTCTGACACATAAATTTGAAGCTCCTTCCACTACCCCTTGATACTGAGTTTAACCATGTACATTTCTTTGGCCAACTGGATATTCACAGATGTGACCCATGCAGACAGTTCTCTGCTTTTGCCATGAGGCCGCAACTGAGCTGTTGGAGAATGAGACATGAGAAACCAAGCTGCGTCATTGCAGTTGTCCCATCTGTGGCCCTCACAGGTCAGTCAATAGCCAGCCTACCCATACGTGCTTGAGCAACAATAGCCATGATCAGCAGAGTCTCCTAGCCAATTAGCCCATATATGTTTAAAATGATAATTGTTTCAGAGTTTGTGGTTTGTTACACCACAAACTGTAGTGATAAATAACTGATAGAGAATGACATACAATGCTGGACTTACAATGTCTATTTATGCTTTAAACATTTTGTTTATATTTTGGGAGACATGCAAAATCATTCAGAGGTGAAAAATACTAATAATACATTTTTAAAGGAAACAGAATTCTGATGGATGCTAAGTTTTGGAATTAGAAACATCAGTGATTTTAAACATCTTTCTCAATCAAGCTCTTAATATGAACTAGATGTTACATTGATAAACTCACAAATAAATAGTCATATTATTAAGTTCCAAGATGGAAAAATATTCATTTTTTTCGTCTGGTTTCAAGTGTTATCATTTGTTTTGAATAGTATTATCATTATAACTAGGTTAAATGCTTCATTTAACACCTGGTAAAACAAAAATTTTAAATAAGCAAGAATTGATTTCTTTTCCTGAATTATATTACCAACTTATGAATCTTATTCTGAGATGAATTTACCTAAGGGATGGATAGCTTATGTCATAATCCAAGATTTCAGTAGAATAACATCTGTAATAGAAATTTGATTATGTATCTTATAAGTGACATGGCCCAATAGTGTGCATGCTGAAGTTTCACCTGCCTCTGTATTTTACTTTTAAAGAACAGGTTTTCATGTAGTTACTGATATCAACCCCATGATAAAGATAAAAACCAAGGCAATACCTGAATAACCAGAATGTCACAATGGAACCTTGTGCCAGTGTGAAGAATCTCAGGAAACTTGGTTGGATCTGAATTTGACAAGGTGACTCTACAGATTTGGGGGAAAATTCATGAATCCACATTACATCTACAACCTTCTAAATGTGTAAATACCTCATACTGCAAGTATCTCTTAAAGTCTATGCCTTTTTATACCAACCAAAATGTAGATTAAGCAAGTTTTTTACTTAGTCTCTGCCATTTTGGTATTTTTTTAGATGGTTCTTAAAGAATAACTGTGTTATAAAATAGTAAGTAATGCATTATTTTATAGCTTAAAAACACGAAATTCCTCTTAGATAATTTCTAAACACTTAACACATAAATTATCATGTAATATTTATAATGAAATTACTTTGGTTAAAATAGGTAAGTAGTGAATATCCTTCTTATTCAAATAGTATGAGATCTATAGAGTTACAGAATAAAATTTTACAGTATTTGGAAGGGAAACACAGGAACTTGAAGATAACATTGACTTATAACTTGTTTTGGAAATTACTTACCTTTTTGAAATTATGCATATGCATCATCATCTATAATTCTTTGCAACATGCCCACACTCACTGAAACAACTGCAAGTTTCATTAAAAAAATGACATTTCCATACACATGCAATTGTGAAAGTTGTAACATGATGCATTTTTTTCAGATGACACTAAAATTAACATAAATTTGTCAGGTTAAAGATTATTTAAATGTAGAAAATGCTACATAATATAGAATACTTGGGTAAAAGGTGAATAAAAATTATAAATTTTTAGCAGATCCTTGCAACAGTATGTTGGAAACAAATAAATTATTTGCTTAACTATTTAAATTCTACTTCATGAGACAAGACAATAAAAATAACTGTCCCAGTTATTTAGTTTAATCTTGATAGTAAGGAAACTTTGTGGGAAAATGACTTTATTTCTTACTAGACTAGTTGGGAGTTTAGTATTAACAATCTAGGTTTACACATTTTAAGGGAAAGTAAATTCATACATATCGATATTGCATTCATAAGGCCAACTTGCTTAAGACAAAGTTATAGCAAAAGAACATAGGAACACCGTGGTTGTATGAAAACTATGGCTAAGGTATATAATGTGTAGTCTTGCACTAATCGTACAACATAGGCATGCATGCACATTATATACCAAGAAATTCTGTCACTCTAACAAAGGGTAAATTTAAAGCTGGGTCCTAGATCTTTAGGTGCTCAGAAATCATTATGAATTAAGTGCATTAAAAGACATTATCTCTTTGATCTCTGTTTGTCTCCACTCAGCAATATTTGTCATATTTGATGAATTGCTGCAGTATATTATGGCAAGAAGCATAGAATAATTATAGTGATGCTAGTGTTTAGTCCATCTTAATGACATTGCCTATTTGCCTCATGGAGGGTTGGTCTGGCTGTCCTTCCTCAGATGGTTTTGGGTACCTTTAAGTGAAATGTCTAGTTGGCTACACAGCAGACATTTAAGGAAAATTAAAGTGAAAGTTTTGAAAGAGGTAAATAAAAAGCAACAATTATCTTGAAACATTTTAACCTTTTTTAGAGAATAAGGGGTAGGGCTATTCACATATATCCCCTAAACATTTTACAGTAATGATGGCATGTAAAAAGTATGAAATAGAACTAATAATGCTGTTTATAATTTTACATATTTCTCTCATTTCTTCCATGTCATTACACTTTATGTAAAGCATCTTAGACAAAAATAATCCTCCACATGACTATCTTTACACTTATACTCAACTTATATCATAGAAAGACTTTCTACATTTCAAAAAACTATACCACATTTCCCTCCTTTGCCTGGGGTCTATATCATTATTGGAACACATAAGTAGTTTGTATTGGTTTAGGGGTCTCTTTTTTCTAAACTATTGGTTTGCTCATGTCCCCTATTAAAATAGAAGGTGTTGCTGGCAAAATTGCAGTTCAGCTTCACCTCTGGGTCTACTTGGCAGATGAAAGCATTGTTTTTGGCAATTTGTATACAAATAGTGTAATAGAGTGTAATTATGGGACTTCATCTGAAGCACTGATGGTCTCTCTGTGATTTCAGCCACTATAATAATGAATAAGCTTCATTCTTCTAAGCTTTAAACACACCCATCACAGTGGGAGCTTGTGGCATCTGTGTGTGTGTATGTGCATTTGCACCTGGACATGAGCATAAGCCCATGCATTTAGCTGAATTTCTCAAGTTTTGAAGAACAGTTGAACACAGTTTAGGACTTCCACTCTACTGACTTTTTAAGCAGGGTCCTGTAGGATAAAAGAATGTAACTGTGGTGCTGAAGTAACCCAAGTTAATAAAAGACTAAAAAAAGAAATTGGGATTGGAAAATATATTTCTGTTCAATCAAAATGTGTTTATAGTTTCTGCTCCATCTCTCTCAAAAGAGAATGGAAATGTGGAATTACAGGACACACTCTGTACGAGGAATACAGGAATTCTTCTAAAGTTTTTGTTTTTTTTGGCTTTTGTTTATTTTGTTGGGCTTTTTCCTTCCTTCTTTCCTTCCTTCCTTCCTTTCTTCCTTCCTTCCTTCCTTTCTTCCTTCCTTCCTTCTTCCTTCCTTTCTCTTCCTTCCTTTCTCTTCCTTCCTTTCTTCCCTCCTCATTCTGTTTCATTTTTGTTTTAGCATCAGGACTCTGAAGTTAGAAGTGAAAAACCTACTGGAGAGACCATCGAATCTGCACCACAGTCTATAACATTAACATACTTTGAGCTGGGTCTGTGACAAATCAGCATTATCCACATTTCAAAGTCAAACTTAATATCCCATTCCAGACCAGATCTTAGTGGTCCAGAGCATAATTGAATTAGTTGCAGAGATTGTGGTCCCAACATGTAATTTCAAGTGTCTCTCTGTGAAAATCACCCAGAGGCTATGATTTTAGCTACTTCCAGGACTCTTTGAGGACAGTAATGTTGCCAGTGTCTAGTGATCCTATAGTTATGTTTATCTAATTTCTGATTTGCCTCCTCTATGAATGAGTGAAAAGGATTTTACCATACATCAGCACTGAAGCATGACACCAATAATCTCACAGATGTGCCAATCTATCCTTGCCGACTTTACTAGCAAGTCTTATTTAAAAATATTTTTCCTCTGACTATTTTGACCCACTCACAACTGGAAAATATTTATCTTTATATATTTTTAATCCCACTTTAATTATATAATTTTAATATATAATATAGAAATAAAATTTATACAATTTTAATCTCACTTGCCAAGTTCTGATTTCAAAGTTTCCACTTTAAAAAAGAGAAAATACAATCCAAAATAGGAAAGACAGGATGTGTTAGTATCCAAGACCTGCTTTCTGCATGGCATTTGCCAGAAAGAATAGAAGCAAAGTTGATTCATTTACTCTTAACATTTTTACATTAAATTTTCAGTAGTGTTCAAAATTACTGAGATAATCTGCAGATTAGTAATGAAAATAATTTCCATATTTACCATTCCAATATCCTTAGTAAATAATGATTTAGGAAAAGGGCTCAGAGTGTCCAGTAAAAATACTTAATAATTTTTATAGTTTTGTGACTTAGTAAATTTTATAATTTAGTGATAGTATTTATCACTAATATCATACACCACAGGAAAAAGACAATGGAAAGTAGAAAATATTAAAATATTAATAGTGAGCAATTATACAATCCAAGTTAAATCTAATCAAAATATAACAAAAGCCACATATATAATTTAAAATTTTCTAGTAGCTACATTTTTAAAAGTAAAAAGCAGTATGAAATGAATTTTAGGAACATATTTTTATGTGATTCAATAGATCCCAAATAATCATTTCAACATATAATTAACATAAAAGTGTTAATGAGGTATTTTACATTATCTTTTTCATATTGCCTTCAAAATCTATTGTATATTTCACACTTACAGCATATCTCAATTTAAACACCAACATTTCGTTAGAAACACTTGTTTTAGATTTTATAAAATATAAAGTGTGATATGGTTTGGCTCTGTGTCCACACCCAAATCTCATTTGAATTATAATTCCCAATGTTGGGGGAGAGACCTGGTGGGAAGGGATTGGATTATAGGGGTGGTTTTCCCCATACTGCTCTCATGATAATAAGTTCTCATGAGATCTGATGGTTTAAAAATATGTGGCACTTCCCCCTCCCTCTGTCTCACTCTCTCCTGCCACCACGTGAAGAAGGTGCTTACTTCCGCTGTGCCTTCCGTCACAATTGTGAGTTTCCTGAGGCCTCCCAGTCATGCTTCCTGTTAAGCCTGTGGAACTTGAGTCAATTAAATCTCTTTTCTTCATAAATTACCGAGTCTCAGGTAGTTCTTTATAGCAGTGTGAAAAGGACTAATACAAAGTGGAATAGTAGATTTGAGACCAGCCTGGCCGACATGGTGAAACCCCATCTCTACTAAAAATACAAAAATTAGCCAGGTGTGGTGGCACATGCCTGTAATCCCAACTACTCGGGAGGCTGAGGCAGGAGAATCGCTTGAACCCGGGAGGCAGAGGTTGCAGTGAGCTGAGATGGCACCATTGCACTCCAGCCTGGGGGCCAAGAGCGAAACTCCGTCTCAAAACAATAATAATAATAGTAATAGCTAATGTCTATTGAATGATAGCACCATTCTGTGAGCTTTACATAGATGACATCATGTGATCCTCCTGACCAATCTGTGTGGCTAGTATTCATATTCTCCCTACTTTTCAAACAAAAAATGCAAATTTAAGTAATTTTTCCTTAAGTCACCCTTGGTAAACTTAAAACTCTGGCTCAAACACTGCGTCTCAGCCCCTATACTTAGGCAGAAGATTTATACTTATAAGTGACTGAGTAAGGAGTCATACATACAAGATTAAAAATTGGGAGAGAGAGAGAAGAAAATAACTTACCTAGCTAGCTAACCAAGCTAGCTTACCAAGCTGTCTAAGTTATTTTCTTCTCTCTCTTTCTCAATTTTTAAGATTGTATGACTCCTATATACCTAATGCTAAATGACGAGTTAATGGGTGCAGCACACTAGCATGGCACATGTATACATATGTAACTAACCTGCACATTGTGCACATGTACCCTAAAACTTAAAGTATAATAATAATAATAAAAAGATTGTATGACTCCTTTATTCAGTTATTTGTTTACCTGTTATTTATTATGTATTATTCTTAGTAACTTAGTGGGAGTTTTTTGGTTTTATTTTATTTTATTTTAAGACAGAGTCTTGCTCTGTCTCCTGGCAGGAGTGCAGGGGCACAATCTCAGCTCACAGCAACCTCTGCCTCCCCGGTTCAAGCAATTCTTGTGCCTCAGCCTCCCGAGTAGCTGGAATTACAGGCGCACCACCACAATCGGCTAATTTTTTTTTTAATTTTTATTTTTAGTAAAGATGGGCTGTTCTCCAATTCCTGGCCCCCAGCGATCTGCCCACTTCAGCCTCTCAAAGAACTTAGAGTTTTTAATCCCCTTACTATTTGAAGACAACTGCTATTTTTCTCAAGCAAAATATTATCAAAATTTATTAGCATTATTAAGTATATTTCAGACATTGTGCTGCGTACTGAGGATACAAATACTAATTACTCATGACCTCCTCCTTTGAGTAGAATTTAATCTAGATGGAGAGACAGCTTCATAAAAAAGAGATCTCTAATACAATGGGCAAATACAAGGGGAGTTCAAAGGAAGGAGGAACTAACTCAGCTTGAGAAAGAAGATACTGTCTTAGAGAAGGCTGTGTTGGAATGGAGTGTTGAAAGGTGACTGGAGGGTTATCACGCAAAAAAATAAGAGAAGGCAGGTTCCAGGTAATTAGATGAGCACAGGCATTTTGGAAAGAAGCACAGTATCTCCAAAGAGATTGGCACATGTTGTGTGGGCTGGGGCTGGGAGCTGGAGGTGGGAAGAGAGGAATTCTGTGAGATCGAAGCTTGGTGTGTATGGGGGGAATTAATGAAAACTGAAACAATAAAGGTATATAAAGGTACACAGAGTGGCCTTGAATTGTGACTAGAACCATGTTTCCTAAGTTGTAATCTACCTTAGGAAAATACTGAGGAAAGAAAATATTGATGGAAGAAATTTAAGAAAGTAAAGATATCCTAAAAGAGTAAGGAATATTCCATAAGACTTGTATTAATTTTGAAAAAACAAAACTATAAGCTTTGTATTAAATAATATATTTTCTTGTGAATTAAAATTTATCTTTACCATTACAAATTGGATGAACTAGAACAGTCTGTAAAATTAACATTCAAAACCACAGAAAAGAGATGCATTTATATTCTGCCATATGCCATCTGAGCTTCAGTTTTTGAAAGATGGACAAGCTTCGCGCACTGCTTAACATTTGTTTTTCAATTAATTACCCAATTACTTCACAAATTATATACTTGCTGCAAGTTGTGCTATTTTGAGATATTATTTAAACCAATTTTCCTTCTTCGTTGAAAAACTGTCTGAACACCCTCTGCAAGATTTTAATTCAATTCATAAACTTTGGTTTGGAATTTGTTGTATATTTTGCTTGTTATATACTTTACACACACTCTCTGTCTCTCAGATACACACAGACAAACAAGGACTTAATACTGCAACTTTCACACAAATAAATTTGCTGATCCAATATAAAGTATACTGCATATAAGATTTTACACACACACACACACACGATAATTCCTCCCTAAAGATGTCAAACTTTTATTGCCACGGAAACTGACTTTAGTCTTTCTTTCTAAATTTCTAAAACAAGATAATAAAATCATTAATCGAATCATTTTTATCTTGGTCCAAAAGCTTATAAAATGAGAATTTACAAATCACTTTAACATTTAAATCCATTCCAACAAAAGACAATTTGTGAGCCTACTATGTGTCCAGCTCTCAGATATCAGTTTGTGTCTGTATCATCACCCAAATACATCAAGAGGTGCTCCTGAAATAAAGCAATTAAATGTTACTAAATTCAACCTATGTAGCTTGAAATATTTAGAAAGCAAAGGTAAGTTGAAGTTTCCTTTTTACCAAAAGACCTTCACTTTATGAAGTAATTCAAAAGAATGCTGTTCTAAATAGCAACTTTCTTCATCTCTTTACATCATTTACACATGTTTTTAAAGAAGGTATTTTTTATGTAAAGTGGAGCAGACCACTGTTTTCTATTCTTTTAGAAATGTAGTAGAATGTGTAAGAGTGACAGGAACAGAATGGAACAGAAGAGAAAAAGCCAAGTTGGTATCTTCGAGTCAATGAACTTTAAGTAAGGAAAGTGAAAATCATACACATACTCATAATCTTTTTTCTATTCTAAAATGCCATTGATTGCAAGATTATTTAGCTTTGATTATGACAACTTTTCTGCAAAACAAGATGCAATACCACATTGAATGTGTACACTGATTGTCTGACCTATCCAAATATCAGAAAAATGAAAAATATGGATACCATTGAGAAAGTTTAAGCATATAGAGGAAACTCTTTTTATGTAATATGTATATGTGTGCGTTTGCACATGCAATTGCCTGTAAATAGATTTACAGAGGGGAGGGCAGGAAAGAAGGAGATTGATTGCTGGCTGGCATGGGTGCATAGAGACTTGTCTGCTTCTTGAAATCTCTTCCACTGTTACCTGGCGGTGCCTCAGGCATTCAGCTGCAGAGTGCAAAATGAGACAATATCTGCTCACACATCAATACTCTATTTAGTAGTTTAAAATACCTATCATCTAAAACATAGTTCTTTAAAAATTTTAAATACAGCCAAAATCTGTTACATAATGCTAAAAAGGGAAAAAGATATAACAACTGCAGCATTTTTTAATGGAAATACATAGGTGCTTTAGGCAAGATCTACTGGAGAGGGGAAGGATCAAGCTTTGAAGATCCGATTCTCTCCTTATGCCTCTTTTGAACTTTTCACGGTAGTTACTAAGTTCATATCTGTTTTGTGTTCTCGATGCTTAGTATCCTCTAAAAATATTTAATTAGAAAGGAAAAAAGAATGGTATGACTTAAAAGAAAATCGTATATGCTACATTTAAGTCTTCTGTTTGACAGCCCTCAGTTAGATATTAGCTAAGAGAAATGTATAGATTTTCTCCCCAAAATATATTGCTAGTACTTTTAAAGCTCGGAGTGGGGATATTTAAAGTAGAGTGGGAAAATAGTCCACTTACTCGATGTGCTTCACAGAGTCACATATGAATAATTTACCCTGTGAATCCAAAGGAATAATAAACTACTTTTACAATTTATGCCTGATTCTCTCTGTAGGCCTGCCTCTGGTTGTATTTACATGCACACGCAACTGTTGTAATTTTTTAGGAGGAACAATATGTAAGCATAGAGGTGCACCTACCCAAAGAGAAGGTTCATGCTGAGTCTCACGAAGGCTTGACAGCTGTTTGGTTTTGATAAAGTTGTAATTTGAATTCAGTTCATGCCAAAATAAAAGAATAAAACTATTTCCATGAAGACTATTTTATAAGTTGTACTATAATAAGTGAACTTTATTTTTTTAAAACTTTAAATATAAAGAAAGATAAGCAAAAGTGATGGAAATTGTGAACCCATAAATACCTATGGTTATATTTTGATGCACATATGCGTTTTCCCCTAAATACCATAAGCTCCTCTAGAACAAGAGCCATCTCTTATGTTTCTTTGTATCCTCAGGGTCCCACACACTGCTGTACACAGAGTGGGTACTTAATAAATTGTTAATGATTTATTTATCCATTCAATTCATTGAATTGCTAGTATGTTCTGTGAATTGCTAGAGGGGTACTAAGATGAAACAAATGTAGATCCTATTTTCAAGGAGCAATCTAGAAGGGTAAATAAGACACAAATATATATATGAATAAAAGACATAAATAATAAGAAAAACTGAAAAGAAGAAAGTGTTATTGTCCAAGTGCAGACAAAATTCAATTGGAAGTTCAAAGGAAGGAGTTGGGGAAATGGGAAAGGATTTGGGGAAATGGGGAGGGAGTCCATGAACAAGGAAGAATCTAATGATTATTGTACAAAAAATTTGAGTCAATGATGTAGTATCATTTAGGAAATAAATATGATAATAAAAGGAATTTCATATGGAAGGAATTAAGTTCCCTGGAATACAGAAATAGCTACAAGTTATTTCAAAATGTTTTCATGTGTTCATCTATGAAATATTATCTTTCTAGTAAGTGTAAGCTTTTCCTTGCAACACTACTCATGGATATATAAAATGTAAATCTTATCTGTTTAATAAGCACTTATTGAATGATAACTATTTTAATATAGTGTACTAAGAGCACAAAAAATATTAAAAATAAATGAAACATAATCCATGTTCTCAAGGAACTTACTATTTATTAAGACTATATATGTATGCAACAATTATCAAAGTAGAATTTGCTAAACGCAAACATTCTCGATAGTTGTGCTTGACTCATCCTACACCTTTAAAGGAAATGTTTCTGTGTACAATTAACCAATTTTCTCTGAGTTAAAATGCAGATGATCCCGCTTTAACAAGTTAATTGGTTCCTATCAAGACTTAATAGGTTAATCCCTTGTGTTATAAAGTTAGATTTTATTCCTGAAAAGAACATTTAATGCCATAATATTCTAAAGTTACTTGTGAAAGTAAATTAAAATAAAATACAAATGTCTTTGATGAACATATTAAGTATATATGAGGAAAACACATGCATATGTATATAATATAAAAGTCACATTGTAAATATTTCTTTGGAAGGACATCTCTGCAGTTGTTACTATGGTTATTTTAATTACAATATGAAATATGATAAAAGCAGGATGGCACAGTTTCAGATATTATTAAGTCTGAACTTTCCCATGGGATAAAACGCACTTAGAAAATTGTATGCATTATGATTTTTTTGTTTTTAGAAAGCACTTCAATTTCTTGCATTGCTTTATTTCATCATTTATATGATCTATTTGGTAAAATTTTGTGATCTATTCTTTATATTTAAGCTGAGTCTTTAAATCCTGGATAAATAGGCAATTGAGGAGACTTTTGATAACAATAAACATACAGGATTGACAAGAATAAGATGTAAGATCTAGAGATAATTTCAGCTAGATATTCCATCATTGCCCAAACAAAGATAATCACAGTTTTGTATCTTCCCAAATTTTTCTGCTTTACATATCCCTGTTTAAGACTTGAAACTTAGTAAGACTTATTAACATCATTTTTTCCCTTTGCATTTGTACAGAAAATGACATTGTCCTCTTGTTACCACAAGTGTATGACTATATGTTGCGGGCACTTTTTCTGTTCTCATTTACAATCATAATTTATTCATCCCAAGGTATATGCTGTCCAGCACTGGACAAGATTGTTCACTTTATGAAAGAAATAATTCCTGAGAAAGTCCCTTTTCCTCTTTGAGGCCATTACAACACTAGCTTGGTTATTAATCTCCTAAGGTGATCACGTCCTATTTCAAATACCTTCTTATCCACATGCAAATGAATCACATAAGGAACTGTATTCATGTTTTTGATTATTGTGTTTATTTCATTGTTATTTTTGAAAGAATGTAAGGATCTGAATATGTAAATTGAGGCTATAAATGAAAGTCTGTCATTGCAATGTCTATTTTCCTACATTCTCTGATATTTCCCCTAAGCTGTTTTGTACCTGACTAGTTGCATGATTTTTGCTCCCATTAAAATAGGTCTGACACTTCAACAAAAAACAAATTGTGCCTGAAATTGGGACTATTAAAATTCTACAGTGCCACCCAGAAGTCAGCAGTGGCGCTGCAGGGGGCCTGTGAAGAACAAAAAAATAAAAACATGCGAAATGTGATGCTTCATTCATTGTGACATATCTAATATTTTTAAGCTCCAGAAGTTGGCTTCACATAGTTTTGTCAGGTAATAACTTATAAAACCAAAGTTGGCACAAACTAGCTGCATGTCACTTAGAAAAAAATTCCTTAGGAACTGAATTTTCCCAGTGACAAATATACTCATCTTCATTATAATCAGAATTATTTGTTATATATAGGGTATTTGCAAGGCAACACAACAAGTAAAAAATAATAAACATTTTCATCCTCTGGAAGTTATCTGCTCTAAAAAGCAGTCTGCAACAAACATTTGCCTTTTCACTTATATATTACATATAGATTGGATGAAATAATGGTTGTTGTTTCTAGCAAAGACAAGAAAACAGGGCAAAATTAGTGCGAGAACTCAAAGGAGGGGAAAAGAAGTTCAATGTCCTTAAAAAATAACCTCTTTCTACAGTATCTATTACCACTGCCATCAGTAATAACATTTCCCGTATCTTCAAATGGCTCCCTAGAGTCCACAATCACTTTACTACAGCTCGTTTGCCTTTCTGTGTAAGTGCGCACACATTTCATTATAATCTACCCTCCTTTCCACATACAAAAATTTCAGCTTTGGAGTGATTTAGTTCAATTAAACAGAATTCTCAACTCCAACTCTAGTTTTTGACACAGAGGAACAGTGCAAATAATGTCAAGGTTTCGAACTGGGGGTATGTGGGTAAGAAAATTGATCTCCTTAGCCAAATTAATTGCACTACAGGAGCAAGTCTAGATTCCACAATGTCTCATTTTGCTGATTCTGGGATAAGACGAAGTAGGCAGTAGCGTTTGAGTGGCCAATGATTGCTCTGGTCTGTTGTCTCCATCGAGGAAAAGTGGGTGGAGATGATTGTTGAGATATGAACACTGAACATATACATTTGTAAAAATTCCCCATTTGTATTATTGTGTTTAGTATTTTGTATGGAGTGGGTAAGAGAAGACAGGAGGAGTAGGAGAGGCATCTGAAGGTAAACAATAAACAATAAGAAAATTTGCGTGCAAAGAGGAATCTGGTTACACTCTAAGAATAGTCACTCTACAAAGATTCAAACTATGCTCTATTTAACAGCTAGAAAAATAACCTGCATTTCAGCTGAGTTGAATTCAAGATAGGAAAATTGTGGCTGAAAGTTGCATTATATCTACCTGTGTTTTGCAAGTCTATTAGGTTCTGAATATTTCTCATACTGTTAATTATCTTCTATGCCTACTATACTACTGAAATCTTATGTATGATTTGGGAAACTGTTCTGTAAAGTAACAGTTCATTCTCAACAGGCTAGTTTTGCAATGCATTTCTGAATAAATAAATGTTGTAAAATGTCTTTTCCCATATCCCACGGCTCATCGTCATGTCAAACAGCCTTCTCTCTGCTGGGGTCTTCACTATAGAAGCACAATACCAATTAATTGATTGTGTTTGTTCAAACCTGTCCAGCAATAAATTTATTATTTCAAATTATATAAAAGAAGCCAAGCAGTCTAATTAAGAGAGATGGAACAAATGAATTTAAGTGTTCTTTGAATTGCAATCAATCAGGTTTTCTAAACTGCATAATCAAACGGAATTAATATTAAATTCTCATGCCATACCACACATTATTTTCAGTGTGGGTGTAAAATAGGCACATTATGTTGGGTTGAATACATGTGGAGATCTGTAACACCATCATCTAAAAATAGACTATGGCTTAGCTTCAAAGTGCATACTCAAAGATACACTGGCATTTTGGGGTAACTATTATACTATCCCATGTAGTTAACTCAAGGCAAAAGCTATCCCACTCTAATTGCCATTTTAAAAGTTTATATGATAATGTGTTTTTGAATGCTGATATTAATGTAATTTTCTGATATTCCACAAGACCATATTTGGGGAAATATAAGCTTAAGAATACAACATGACATCTATGAAACTTTCAACTTAATTATGTTTCAATAGCTCAATTTCCATGAGTGTGTATTTTAAGTTAGCTTCCTTCTAACATATTTGTATGATGATTTTTCTCTTGTCTTTGTCTATCTATTGCTTATAAAACTTAATTTTTTTACCTAGGGAAGCAAATACTTTGCTCAATAAACTAGCTAATATATTTATAATTAATAATTCTTACTTTATTTTGTACTTCAACATTGTACAATGCCAGTTCATAGGTACGTATCTGCTTTTTAAATAAAAAAAAATCAAGGATTTCCTTTTTTGGTGATATTTGGATCTCTGAAATCTTCCCAGCTCTCCTGATATTTTACAGACACACTATCATCTTCAGATTAATCATAAACATTACATAGTATGTAAATAAGAAGGGATCTCAGAAATAAAAGAGACCAATTTTAATCAAGAAACAACAGAGTAATTGGGTTAAGTCAGACTAGTAAAAAATGGTAGCAGTTTTCTGAAGGCATTTAAAGCTCTTCTAATGAGTTAATAGAATGAAAACATTTATATTCAGGAACTTCCTGATGGGGCTCAGGTACTATGAAGTGATCTAAGTCAGAGATAATCGTGGGTTCTGATGCTGATTCGAATCAACCTTATGATCCTCAGCATGCAGTTTGGCTTTATTGGGCTTCACTTTTCCCAGAAATTTCACCTAAAAAACAAGATTTTGTTTATGGGAATTAAAAACAAAATGTTATCAAGAATGTTATAAATAAGAAACAGATTAAACAATCATAAAAGAAAGGATAGGAATCACCTTACCATAAGTAAGTATGTTACAGATTAATTTCAAATATATAAGTTATATATATTTCTAATAGTGGTAATATTATAAATTATTAATTTACTACAATTGGCAAGCCTTTATTAGTATACATGTATTTATAATTCTCCACATCTTTCATAACCTGAGTAAGAAATTTAATGAATTTTCAGTTATATCAGATTGAATATTTTAAAACAACTATGATGCTTGTGATATAAACAAAATATTTTCTTTAGAAAATTCTTTAAATGTAAACACAGTCATTACACAGAAAAGACTATAATAAATTTGTACTAAATGAATCAATATTTTCAAGTGTGACTACAAATAATAAATTAGAATTTTTAAAATTCAGTACTGGGTTACTTATTTTTTTTTATGTGTTCCTTTAAGTTTTACTCATTTGAAATTCTGGTGTTAGAATTTCCCCATCTTTTATTTATCCCAAAAAGTATCCCAGATGATAGAAAAAGTAAAGTCCTAAATTCTTTTAATTCTATTTATGTGAACTTTAAGTTAACAGAAAATGAAATAAACTGAATAATTACAAGAACTAAATTTATTTGAATGGGAATCAAAATGGATATACAAAATTTAGTAGAATAGAAATAATGGTACAGAAATATACAATAAGACATGCTATAATAAAACACAATACTGTAATTTCTAAAATACAAAAAATGAGCTGCAAGATACTCAACTGGTAATTTTTCTTGCTTCAATTGTTTAATTTTAAAGTACTTTCAATTGTGTAAACAGTATGCAATCAAAGATCACAAAACTTTTAAAAATGTAGCATATTAGTGAGCGCCAAAACACTTAGCTATGTTAAGAAGGGCCTTAAAGAAAAAAGCTTTCAAAAGCTTTTATTCTTCTTTAGAGATCACAATTTATGTCTAAATAAAACTTATTTACAACGGACACAATTATGCCCCAGTAGTAGAGACAGGCTGGTGAAATGAGCCCTTATCAGTATTCTAAACTTGACTATTCTTAATTTTTTTTCCTTTTTCACATCCCAAGTTAGCTGTCATTTCTGTGGTTATATTCCATGTTTTCTGTTTGCTTTTTTTAAAATATGGACTCACCACCAAGAAATATCCGATGTTAAAAGCCCACTAATTATTTCCTATGAACCAAGAAATATATGTTTTATTTAAATTGACTTTAAAAATTTTGAGGGAAAATCAAACAATGCCTGATATTGTTTGGCTATGTCCCCACCCACATTGCATCTTGAATTGTAGTTCCCATAATCCCTACATGTTGTGGGAGGCACCCAGTGGAAGGTAATTGAATCATGGGGGTGAGTTTTTCCTGTGCTGTTCTTATGATAGTGACTAAGTCTCATGAGATCTGATGGTTTTATAAAGGGCAGTTCTACACTTGCTGTCTTGCCTGCTGCTGTGTAAGACATGCCTTTGCCCCTCCTTTGCCTTCTGCCATGATTGTGAGGCCTCCCCAGGCATATGGAACTGTGAGTCCATTAAACTTCTTTTTCTTTATAAATTACCCATCTTGGGTATTTCTTCATAGAAGCATGAAAATGAACTAATACAAAACCCCTCAGAGTTAACATAAATCGAAATGAATGCAAATTTCTGAATTACTTAATTATCTTTGCATTATTTACCAAAATAGTGACACCCAGTAAATACAAGTAAAATAATGATCTTAATGGCCAATAAATATCTCCATATTACACTTTACATTTTTATACTTTAAATGGCCTTGTGAAATAAACTTCAGAAGAGTAAAAGAGGGGCTGTGACACCTTAAAACCCTAGAAGGTTCTTGAGAAAGGAGTTACCAAGATGGGGACACTAGACTACGTGACTCCAGAGAGCCTTTCAAAAGCACATACCTTAAACAGTCAGATAAACAGTTAATACTCCTCAGCAACCTAACTAACCCTTATTAATGAAACATCATGGCTTGGGAGAACACTCGCTCTTCACAAAATATCCCCTAACTGTAACATAATTATTCCCTAAATGTAACTGACTTCATCTCACTCTAAGAACTTTGTGCTCTCCCCTCTCCTCCTCCCAGTTATAGTATGAAGTGCCTGGTGGAAATCACTAATGCACCACTTCTTAAGGAGATGCATCTCCAGACATGATCTGCATCAGCTGTCATCTAAACAGCCTCAGCAGGACAAGGGCAGTTTCAACCTGTCCAGGAAAAGCACTGGTGGGGCAAACTCTATCCATATATCTAGATATAAAACATTAAAACAATACCTTAAGTTTCTGTATTGTTTTCCACCTATTATCACATTAGTTTAAAATTCACATATTTTCTAAATTAAGAATATGTATTCTGTTTGGATTTTTAAAATACTATACCTAAATGAACAGAATAATTTTTTGTTTAAACAAAATGCAAAATAAATGTTAGCCAATTATACCCATGAATTTAATCTCCCTAGAGAAATCTTAGAGACATCTCCTTAGAGAAATGTTAACTCTAAAGAACTGAAATACCTACAGCTTCATAACTTACAAATTTTACTAAATGTATGTACCTACATCCTTTTGCAAAGGAGGCGGCATAGATAATCTTTGATAGCTTAAAAAAAGAAAGAAAGAAACAAGATCCTCAGGGCCACTATTCTCATAAAGAATGACAAAATGATACACCAGGTTTATTCAGCTTCAAAGGCAGAGAGCCTCGGCCTCTTCTCAGGAGAGCAATACTTTTAATGACTCCAGAGACAAGTTGTTATTTGGAAATCAACAAGCATAGCCTGAATTGACAGTGGCCTCTTCGTGTTTTACCTTTTAATGTGAACTAATACTTTCTCCAATTTTTCATTTTTTCCTACCCACAAATAAACCAATATAAAGACTGAGATAATAATATTCATCCCACTCACTTCTCTATTCGATATGGCATCACTGATGTACCAGGTCCCTAGACTAATCCTTTATTTGGGGATAGAGCTTTTTTTTTTTCAGAATAAATAAAACCAGAAATTCCATCTTAATAAGGCAAGTGTACCCCTCTGCTGCAATTTCAGCTGCTAGCAAACAATCATTCTGTGCATCAATTTAGTTTTCTTGGAAAGGAAAATAATGCATCGTTTCTATTTCATTGTATATAGTGAAGATCACTAATGCACCACTTCTTAAGGAAATGCATCTATAAATGAATGAACAAAGCTACATGTGCTGCATAATAGAATACTCTGTAGAATAATTTAGAAAAGGAAAACTTAGGAACATTCAGAAAAGAATTTCAAACCTGAGAAGTTAATAATGTAATAAGTTTTTGAAATAATATTTAAACAATACAACTTTAGCATTATAAAGGCATGTTAGTGGAGCAATCCGAATTATTTTTATTCCTTCATGCTCAGATTTCTTCTCAGAAAGCCATAAGTCTAAACAGCTCACAAGTAGCAATGTTAATAGAAAAATATAGATATAGAGAAATTAATTTACTGCCATGGCGTATAACTGAGGCAGAATAAATAAACGAAAAAGAATTTTGATTTTTTTTCCTATTGAGGGGACAATACCACCTACCCTTTAAAAACAATATATTAACTCCAGTTTCATTTTCGCATAAATTATTCAAGTGAAAAGTGGGTGATGAGTTTGGGGAAAAATGTGTTGTCTACATTAGAAAAAAATGAAAATAATATCCACCCTAGTTAATTCTGAATTCCTTATGAATCAGTAAAGTCTATAATGCATAGTTCTAATAACGGGGGCACACAGACCACTTGCATCATAATCGCTTGAAGTGAACTTCAATATTTCGATTTTTTTACTCCATCCCAGATGCAATAATGTGAATTTTAGGGAATCTGTCTTTTAATACATTCTCTAGGTCTTCCTTGTAATTTGATAATTATTTTTATAATCTTATTAGTACTTTTATATTTAACTATCAATATATAAGCCTGTATAAGAGTTGTAAATTAGCACAGGTATTTAGTATCACAAAGAAGATAAATAGCACAGCTGTCAGATATAAAAATTATAGGGAGAGGGAGAAGTCAGTCACAAATACATCTGCTTAGAGAAGAACAATAATAACAATTAACAACAGTTGACTTAATAAAAGTATGTTTTTTATGCCTTCTGAGTGTCAGAAACAAAGATAGGTACTTGGGATGCAATGATTAATAGAGTCCGATTCCTATCCTTTCATGAGAAAGGAACTCACAGCTGGTGGAATAATAAATATTGATTATTTTATCTGTATTTTGCATATCATCAAGTTTTTTCAAACTCTTAATCATAATATAACTACGTTGAAACCTTTTTTAATCTTTATCTTTCTCTGAGGCAGACTTTAGTCATTCTGTTCCACATTAAATTGATTGTCATCTAGCCCTACTAAACAGTTGTTTTTTCCTTGCTTTTTTGAGTTGGAACTCTTGTTTTTTGAAGCCCTTGATAGCCTCTTTTTTGGTTTACTCTCTTGCTTCCATGGTGTACAACCACAAGTAAATTTCCCAGTTGCATATGGGAGGTAAACTTTCTAAATCCTTGCATATCTGAAATTACTTTATTCTATCTTTACTTTTGATGGGTAGTATGATAAGGATACAATTCTAGGTGGAAAATACTTTTTCTTTAAAATTTGAAGGTTAATTATAGTTTTCTAGTCTCGCTCGGTCACCCAGGTTGGAGTGCAGTGGCAAGATCTCGGCTCACTGCAAGCTCTGCCTCCTGGGTTCACGCCATTCTCCTGCCTCAGCCTCCTGAATACGCGGGACTACAGGCGCCCACCACCACGCCCGGCTATTTTTTTTTTTAGTAGAGACGGGGTTTCGCCGTGTTAGCCAGAATGGTCTCGATCTCCTGCCCGCATGATCCACCCCCCTCGGCCTCCGAAAGTGTTGGGATTACAGGCGTGAGCCACTGCGCCCGGCCTCTTTTTTCTTTATAGTTGACTATAGTATATAGTACCAGAGAAGTGCATGGTAAGAAAACTCTTGGAAAATTTGACTTGCTTTCCCTGAAGCTTGGAGTTACAAAATCTGACGGCTTCATCTCAAGTGGAAACTTGCTTGAAGAGAGGGAATTCCAGTGGCTACGACCTCATCACTCAGATTTTGGTAGGAAAAAAAAATGTTGTTGTTGTTTTTCACCATGAAATAGTAAATGTCACAGAAAGCAACTTGGCTATAGATGACTTAAAAGGTCACTGCATAAGGTGACTATGTCTGGTGCAAGGCCACAGCAACAGAAAGAAAATGGACTATTCTGCCAGGGTTGGTGTTGAGAAGTCATAACAGGCCAACCACAGCATGAACACTTTATGTCACAGAACTGTAAGGGGGAGACTCCCAGCTCCAGTAAGGTGGAGGTGGAGAAAGTGTACATACAAAGACATGTAAGTACCTCATAGGAGGAAGACAACGTATTGACATCTGCCAGAAAGTGAACCTAGCATCCAAGAAAGAGTTATGAATAGTATTAGCTAAATAGACATTTTATTTTCCTTTACTACTCATAACTTTTTCCAACTTCAATCTTGGAAGAACCAAAGACAGGATAGTGAATGAAAGGAGAGAAGCAGAAGAGCTGAGAGAAACAGGGAAAATACAGAACATGTTTCCTTACTTTGTTGAAGGTCTCCAAGGATGAGTCAAACATCAACTAGGGCTGGGAGTGGGGAACAGGTGGGAAGAAATGTTTGAAATGCATATGAAACAGAAATTTTGGTTTGGATTAGACTAATGAAACTGTCCTATTATCTGAAAGTAATAGAAATATATATCCGATATACCTGGGAAATCTTCAGGGTGAAGAAGGAATAAATTTGACTTTGCACACTTAAAAACAGAGATTAGAAAAAAAATGGAGTCTATTTTTTCTTGTATGTCCACGAATTCCAGGCCATTCTATAAACCAGTTATAACTTTTATTCTTTAATCATTACTCTAATGAGGTTCTGATAAGAAGTCAATAAATATGAGCTGAATCTAATAGTTTAATTACAGTTTCTAGAAATTATTATTTTTTAAAATTTGAATGTGATTCTGTGTTTTTCCACTTCCTCTTACTATTTCTCTATTTTATTCTTCTTTGTAAATCTGGAAAAGATGAAACTAAGAAACTCTGAAGCTATGACAGAACCCATGAAACACAATAGCGAGTTTGGCTGGTCTTCCTTTCAAATACTGTTTTAAATCAAAACTAATACACTGCTTTGATTTCAGTATCAAGAAGAAATGCAAAAAACCATTCTGTATTTGCAATTGCATGGGAATCTATCCCTTTTTTGTTAAGGGCGATTGTTGACAGACCAGAGCAACTACTTACTCTTAGGTGCATTAGTCTGTCAGACAGTTTGTCATTTTCTTTTTAAATACTATCTTTTGTTCCAAGGTAGGGCAACTGTTCTTCTAGTGTTCTTTTTTCCTTATAACATTAACAGGTGTCTTTGTCTAAACTAGGCATAGGGTTGCCTAGTTTCTGGATTTTTCTAGTTGCTTAATCTAAGAAGCTATTCATTTTTTCTATATGTTTTTCTAAAACAAACTACCTTTAAAGTATCCCATAGCCCTTGCAATTCAGAAAGAGACAGTATGCCCTGACTGTTTTCTGACTAAATCTGCCAACTCAGATTTAAGACCGTCAAAATGAAAGTAGATACAGAAGTGAAGTTGTGATATCCAAACTCTTATGGAGACCAAAATGTCCCAGAAAGTGGTAGTTAAAGTGGTCTCTGAAATAATGGGTAGATTCCTTCTTTCCTGCATGTATATAGGATTGGATTTTGACCAATATATTTCGAAAAAAAAAAAAAATCTCAGAGGTAGCTACTGAGAGGTCTTATCTATTTTATGCACTTTTTATATCAATCTGTAGTCAAAATTTATCCATACATTTTGTATCAATCTGCCTGATCACAAATTCGTTCTGCTTTTTCTAACGAAATTTTAAGATTCTTGTATCCCATAAGGACATGAGCTAATTGATAGATATTAAAGAGATCCAGACTATATGTCCCAAAGACAATCCTAAATTCTTCAGTGAACTTTTGTCTCTCCTTAGGAGGGTTTGGCGAGTACTTAACCTGGGTTATGCAAATTTAATCTTGACCAAGAGTTAAAACTATAAAACCAGCAAGATTGGCCATCATCTCCAACTACATTGGTTGAGAATCACTTTCCTTTATCCTACCAACAGACTAAATGACTTGTTAAGCTGTGCTGTCACTGGGACTCCAAGAGGGAGGCCTCATGGGATCTACCGTAGACTCTATCCTTGTGCACGTGCCTCTGGCTGAGCAGCAGAGGGCCCAATCCTGATCCAAATCATAACACCAAAGACGGGACAAAAATTAACCAGAGCAGCTCTTAGCATTATCCAGTAGTTCTCAACTGCAAGATAGTGGGGAGCAATTTCTCCCCCAAGGGACCAATGTCTGCAGACATTTTTGGTTATTGTAAGTTGGTGGGTGTGCTACTTGCTTCTAGTAGGTAGAAGCCAGTGACACCGCTAAACGTCTTGCAGTAGGTGCAGCCACACAACAAAGAATTATCCAACCCAAAATTTTACTATTGCAGAAATTGTGAAATCCTGGCATAAGCCTTTGTGCTAAAAATGCCGGACATGAGAAGATGCTAAAGAAGAGCATTTAGGGGGAAAGGGGCAGAATTTTTAAAGCTCTAGCAGAATGGACCAGTCAGAATTCAGTTAACTTGGGAACTTGTTGGTCAAAAATGGCAGTCTGAATAGGAAACAGTTGTTATTGCAGGTTAATAGGTGTTGGTTGGGTAACACATGTTTATCCAGAGGGGTGGGGAAAAGGAGTTGGGAGCTAACTAAGTCACATGCAAGAGAGGCTTGAGAGAAAGCTGTGGGAGATGAGGACAAGTGAGGGCCAGAGTAGAAATGTGTCTTTCAGGAACAATGTGAAACACATACAGGAAATTCATGGGAGTGGAAACATGATTCCCAAGTGCAGAATGATTCTGTCTAACAGAAAAATTTTCTCCCTTAGGATAAATAAGAATATGAAGCATGATAATTAAGTTAGTTTACTGTTCAAAGAACTATACAATAAGAGCTATAATCTGCAGTATGGGCCTAGCCAAGGCAATGATATTTAGATAGAGAATATTAAACTTGTTTTGTGTCTACTTTAGAGTCATACCAAAGATTTTTAATTGAATAATGTTAACTTCATTGCTTTTTACCCAGCTGATCTTTGTACAAACTAAAGTGGGCAGGATTCCTTCCTACGATGGAATGTCTTCTAAAACAAACATGGTGAAAAGTAGTTAAGGGCAACTTCTGTGGAATATAGACAGTCTGGATTGTTTGTCCTGTTTGAATGAAATCTGCAGACATTGCAGGCTTTTATTCAGCAGTACAGAAGCAAGTTTCTTTGAAAAATGTTTTTAAATACAAACATCAATTTATCATTAAGCTTACATATTTTTAAATGGTCCTCCACTAACTGTTTTTCTGAGTTAAACAAAAGTATATGAAGGAAATTTAACAGGTTTAATAGGTGAAAAAGACTTCCTATCACAACCAGGCAGAGAAAATGACATTTTCATGAGTGGAGGCCTGCCATCAAAATACTTTTAACAAAGCATCTTCCACAAAGCAACCTGGGCAAAAACTGAGGAACAGACATATGCATATGAGTTAGCACAATGCCTAGTAATAAACAGGCCTGTTTCTTTTTTAATGTGTAATCTTTTAGCTTTCTGCCTGGATGATGTTATATAAGGCCATCATAATCAACAAATTTCACTGCTGCTGAGGAAAACAGGGAGTCTAAACACATCAGCAATTTCTTAAGAAAGTGCAAATGCCAAACAAATCAGGAATTCATTAACTAGATGGTGCTGACATTTCCCAGTGGCTTTTGGAGAACTGAACCATTCATTCTTCAATCTTTACCTAGGGAACAGGGGGCTCTCTGATAGTACATGTGAAGTGTGATTTTGTTTAGACTTTTTAAGAATTATGATCTGATGTTCATTCCTACTTTCAGTATTTTATTGGATATGACCTAAGTCACCTCAGGGGGTGATGGACCTTCCATGTCTTATTCCCAATTTATTATGCTCATTGCTTTTCTCTGGCTGGAGACTATGAAGTATCAGTATTATCTACAACTGCTTATAGATGACAGCTATAGTAAAATTTCTTTTTAAACTCCCTTGACATTTTTCTACAAATATTAGTTGTTCTTTTTAAATTAATTTTATAATTTTGTCTTTACAATATTTGATTTAATGGAGTTGGAATCTATTCACAGCCTATAAACTGCAAAGGTAAATAATAAATGGCAAATTATTTCTCTTTATCACATGAATAGACAGTCCACTGGTCAGAATAGGAGGGATCTTAAAAGGAAGACAATAAGAACATAGGGTATGGGCACACAACTTCACACAGTGTGGGACAAGTAGAAACAGTCTGTGAGTAATTATATTAAATATTCAAATAATACAAAATTTCACAATCATGTGGATTAACAAACAATTCCCAGATGAGGCTTCTGAGTAAAAAAGCTTTCTAAGATATTTTCTCATATATTTGTTTTTCATAACATAAAACATGGTTTGATTTTTGAACTGTAATAAACTTCCTGTTCACAAAAAGCGAAATTTTTATGTTAATTACGTTAAGTGAAGAAGTAGATGCATTCAACAGTCAATTATAATGTCAATACTATGTTAACAGTTCAAATAGCTTCCTACCATAAATCATGTTGGTACAACTTTAGACATTTACCTGTCTCAAAAGTAATAGGTAGAATATATCTTTTTTAATTAAACTGATGTTAATTGACATTTTTCTGTATTAAAAATATTAAATTTTGACATTGATTAAATAGCTAGAGGCATTCTTGCTTTGGATATAATTTTGGGTAACATTTTAGCATGTTTTTCAAAGTATAACTTATTTGATTTTGCCACTCAGTAAGAAATAGAGGAAAAGAAGTATATGCTATTGTTTTATAAATGTAGCAACTTATAAGAAAATATTTTTCAACTCAAAGACCCAATAAGTTTGGTAAATCGCCAGTGGTGTATTTGCCTAATCAATCAAACTATTTCAAGTTTCATATTTTTCAGTGTTTCCTAGTAGATCCTAAAGTATTTAAATTATGTTCCATCAGAAATAGAAAATTATGCCCTATTAAGTTAAGGACTCATCTAAAATGAGAATCAAGATCCATAGTTTTCAGTGGATTCTAAGTATTTACTGAAAAGGTCAGAAAATGTTTTACATATACACATTCATGACAAATCTTGAGCCAACCTTAGTTAAAGCATGTAGAAATTAAATCTATGTTCATTTTATCCATTTATTGTTATATAGCTCTTGCTATTTAACAAACTCGATAACGCACAAGGAAAACATAAGAGGTGAAAGATAAAATGATGAAATTGATGAAAAATAAAATTCTATATCCCCACAGCAACTTTTGGAAATGCAATGAGAAGTTTAGAGAAACACATAAAAGTATCATTTAAATATTTTGGCTAGAAGAATTTCAGTTCCAAAATGGCAGCATAGAAGCAAGCTGGCTTCACACCTTCCCCAACAGAAAGCCAAAAACAAATACATAAAGTTGAGATTTTCACCAGCAACAACCCAGAACTAAAATATATGAATGAGACACTTCCTGGTGCCACAAAGAAGGGAAAGAACTCTGAGCAAATAAGAAGAGAATCAATCTTCAATATTTGCAATACCTTCCTTCACCATTTTGCCCAATACCAAGCACATGGAAAAATCCCACAACCCATGATTTTTCACACTGGAAAAAATGAGATTGAAGTGATAAACCAGCTTCCTCACAATCTTGGCAGGAAACTTGTTCTTGCCTTAACCCATGGGAAGGATCATGACTGCCTGAAGGAAGAAATATCACTAAGGACAGGCAGAAAGAAAGCAGGGATGTGGGCCTGCCATCCCCAGCCCCGGAAACTGCTCTGCTACTCAATGAAAGAGGACACCAAATAGGAGTTGCTGATTCAGCAGTACCAACCTGTAGGAGGTACATTCTGCAGGTCCCCTGAGCACAAACTCCTAGCCAGCCCTGACACAATAGTGGGATAAATCCTTTGAGACCTCCCCAAGTCAAGACAGGGAATGATCCAATCACTTACTAGATCTGAGGCAAACTTGGGCCTAACTAAGGTGCTACCTAGACCGAAAAAGGAGACAGCAACCTAACAGTAAAGACTTACTAAGCAAATACATCTGTATAACTCAAAACAAGCCAGACAGAGAACACTGGTATAAATAATCCTTCAATGCAAAGACATAGACATATAAACACAAGAAATAACAGCAAATAGGGAGCCATGACCTCCTCAAAAGACAAAGCAAAAATCCAGTGACTGACCCTAATGATACAGTGATTTGTCAGCTCTCTGACGAACAATTTAAAATAGTAGTTATAAGGAAATTCAGTTATCTCCAAGGTAACACAGAAAAGCAGTTCAGAAATTCATCAGATAAATTTAACAAAGAAATTGAAATGATTTTTAAAAATCAGACAGAAATCTTGGAACTGAGAAACAGATTTGTTGAATTGAAGAACTCATTAGAGTGTCTCAACAGCAGAATGGACAAAGCAAAGGAAATAATCAGCTTGAAGACTGGCTATTTGAAAATACACAGTTAGAGGAGAAGAACAAAAGAACAGCAAAGACTGCCTACAAAATATACAAAATTACCTCAATAACCAAATGTAAGAATTATTGGTATTCAAGAGGGAGTTTAGCAAGAGCAAGAGGTATAAAGCTTATTCAAAGAAATAATAAAAAACATTCCACAACTTGAGAAAGATATAAATACCCAGGGAGGGTCTGAGACCACCAAAGAAATTCAACCAACTAATCTACCCCAAAGCAGATAATAATCAAACTTTCAAAGGTTAAGGACAAAGAGAGAATCCTAAAAGTAGCAAAAGAAGCAAATAACATAAAAAGGAGTTTCAATTTATCTACCAACAGACTTCTCAACAAAAACCATACAGGCCGGGAGGGAGTGGAAAGACATTTTCAAAGTGCTTAAAGGAAAAAATTTCTATTCAAAATATTGTATCCAGCAAAATTATCCTTCAAATATGAAGGAGAAATAAAGTCTTTCCCAGGTTAAAAAAAAAACCTGAAAGAATTCAACATCACCAGACCCATCTTACAGAAAATGCTAAAGGAAGCTCCTCAATCTGAAAGAAAAAAAAAACAACACTAATTTGCAAGAACAAAACTCTTCAAGGTGTAAAATCACTGGTAAAATTAAGTACACAGACAAACCCAGCATACTGTATTACTGTAATGGTGATGGGCAATCACTCATAACTCTAGTCTGAAACCCAAAAGATAAGTCTATCAAAACCAATAATAACTACAGCAACCTCTTAAGAGATGGGTAATATAAAAAATGTCAGTTGAGACACCCGAAGGTCAAAATGTGGAGAAATGTAGTTATAGCATAGTTTTTCTTGTTTTTTTTGTCTTTATTTCTATTCCTGTATTGGTGATCTAAGATAAGTTGTCATCCATTAGAATAACTTGTTAGATCTATAAGTTGTTTATTGTAAGCCTCATGATAGAATCACAGCACAAAAACCTATGATACACTCACTAAAAATTTAAAAAACAACAAATTAAAATATACTACCAGAGAAAATTACTCAACCACAAAAGAAGACAGTAATAAAGGAAGAAAGAAATCTCAAAGCAACCAGAAAACAAGACATAAATTCACATTAGTAAGTCCTTACTTATCAATACTAACCCTAAATGTAAATGGATCAATATCTGCAATTAAAAGACATGGAGTGGCTAAATACATAGAAACAAGACCCAATTGTATGCTGCCTTCAAAAGCCTACTTCACCTATAAAGGCATACAGGTACTGAAAGTGAAGTGGTAGAAAAAGATATTCCATGCAACAGGAAACCAATAAAGAGAAGGAGTAGCTATACTTATATCAGATAAAATAGAATATCAATCGAAGAGTGTAAAAAGAGACAAAGATTTTAACCATATAATGAGAAAGGGGTCAATTCAGCAAGAGGATATAACAATTATAAATATATATGCACCCAACACTAGAGTTCCTAAGTATATAAAGAAAACATTAAGAGATGTAAAAGGAGAAACAGACTTCAATACAATAATAATAGGAGACTTTAACAACCAACTTTCAGTAATGAACAGATCATCCTGACAGAAAATCAACAAACAGTAGTTAAACTACACACTAGATCTAATATGCCTAACTGACATTTACATAACATTTCACCCAACTGTTGCAGAATATACATTATATTCATCATCAGCACATGGAGCATTCTCCAGAATAAACTGTATCTTAGACCACGAAATAAGTCTCAACAAATTCATAAAAATGGAAATTATATCAAGGATCTTTTCTGACCACAGTGGAATAAAGCTAAAAATCAATAAAAATAGGAACTTCAGAAAATACACAAGCATGCAGAAATTAAATAATATGCTTCTGAATGACCAATGAGTCAATCAATAAATTAAGAAGAAAATTTAAAAATTTATTGAAACAAATGAAAATGAAAATACAGCATACCATATTCTGTGGGATACAGCAAAAGAAGTACTAAGAGGGAAGTTTATAGCTGTAATCAATTATATCCAAAAAGTAGAAAGAATTCAAATTAACAACCTAACAATGTACCTCAGTGAACTAGAAAAGCAAGAACAAAACAAACCCCAAATTAGCAAAACACAAGAAGTAATAAAGATTAGAGCATAAATGAATAAAATTGAAACTAAAAAGAGATTAACGAAACAAAAAGTCATTTTTATAAAGATAAAATTGACGAACTTCTGAGAGACATAAAAACTGAGGTATCATAAATACAAAGAATTATGAAGCAATATTATGAACAACAACACACCAACAAATTGGAAAACCTAGAAGAAATTGATAAATTTCTGGACGCATATAACCTACCAAGATAGAACTATGAAGAAATAGAAAATCTCAGCAAGCCAAAAACAAGTAATAAAACTGAAGTTTTAATAAAAAGTCTTCCATTAAAGAAAAGCCCAGGACCTGGCGGCCTTACTGCTGAATCCTGACAAACATTTAAAGAAGATACCGGAGTTTTGCAAGATGGCCTGCTAGAAACAGCTAGTGTGCACCACTCTCACAGAGAGAAATGGAAGGGGAGAGTAAATACAGCACCTTCAACTGAAACATCTAGGTACATGCATCGGGACTCATCAAGGAAACAACTCGACCCATAAAGAAAGGAGAAAAGCAAGGCAGGATGACTGCCCACCCAGGAACAACAAGGAGCGAGGGGGCCTTCCCCGCCCAGGGAAGCGGTGAATGAGTGAGTAACCCCTGGGACCCACACTTCTCCCACAGGATCTTTGCAACCCTTGCATCAAGAGACCCCTTTGTGAACCCACTCCACCAGGGCCTTATGTCTAACACACCAACCTACATGAAGAGCCCTAGGAGCCTTAGGTACCTGGGGTTCCTGGCAAAAGCTGAAATTCTGGGAAATCAGGTTAGACTGCCATACATAACCTTGGGAAAAGGGCTAAATCCAGGGAGCTGAGCAGCTACAGCCTGCAGGCCCTACTTCCACGGCACCTCACAGGATGATACCCATTGGCTTGGGAATCCAGCCAGCCACCAAAAGCAGTGCTACACCTCCCTGAGAAGGAGTTTCAGGGGGGAAGCTTGGGCCACCATCTTTGCTCTTTCACAGCCTTAGCCATGGTTGCCCTTGGGCTCTAGGGAGTCTGATGTGACTAGGAAATCGAGCAGTCCCCTGGCACAGCCCAGTACCTCTACAAAGAAGCAGTCAAACTGCTTTTTGATGTGGATCCCAGATCCCGCTTGCTTTACTGGGCAGAATCTCCTGACCGGGATCTCCAGTCACCCCTACTGGTGTTTCTTGCCGACAGCAGTTTAAGACCTGTTGCCAGCCTGAACACACCTACAAGAGGTTGCTGGAAACCCCCTTCAGGAGATCCCGCCTTGTGAGGAGGAGCAGCCTCAGGGACCTGCTTTAAAGACAGTTTGGCCTCTTTTTCATGGAGCAGCTCTGCTGTGGTAGCGGTAGGCTCTAGTCCCGAGTCCCATCAGACTCTTCAAAGCCAGAAAGCAAAAATGATTCAGGCTGTCAGAGAGCAAAGATGGCAGCCTACTCCTCCCTCTGGAAGCTCCTCACTGTGCAGGTCCTGCAGGCCTGGGTCTTCAGCCACCCCCTGCCAGGGCTATCCAGCCAGTAGCAGCTCTGTAACTTCCCGTGACAGAGCTCCCATTGGGAGGGATGGGTTGCCATCTTTGCTGCCTTACAGCCCTTACCCTTGCTGTCTCCAGGCTTGGGAGAGTACGTAGGGACCAGGGGCTGGTCCAGACCCCCAGCACAGAGAAACTATCTCACTGCAATCAGAGGCAGCCCAGCATTCCTCTGAGGAGGAAACCCCAGAGTGAACCCACAACCTCTCTGCCACCACAGTTACAGAGGTATCATACTAACATCCCTTGGGCTGGGGAAAAAACAAAGGGCCTACTCATTACACTGGCACCTCCAGCACACCATAGCTGACATATGGAGAGGAGTTCAGACCCTCTTCCCTGGGAACCCCCACACCCAAATCTTCACCAAGAAGCACCCCAAGCTCAGACCACAGAAAAGTCGCCCTACCCATGGCTCAGCATACCCACTGGGAGTGGCCCAGAGATTCCCTGGTTCCCAGAGTTTCCCCAGAGGCATATAACCGGCCCTCTGCCACTGCCACGACGGCGGTTCTATTCCTGCTTCCCTTAGTCTGGGGAAGAAACAAAGAGCCTGAGGGTTATATCCAAGCTTACAGCATGCCACAGTCATCCTACAGAGAGAAAACCAGTCTCTCCTTCTAGTGAGCCTTCAACCCCCTGCCCCCCAACGAGTGGAGCCTCAAGCTCATGTCAGCAGTGCAGCCACCCTACCCCACTGACTGAACCCACCCACTAACAGCAACTCCACATTTCTCAGAGGTGGAGATCCCAGGGCAACCAAAAGCTTCTCTGCCACTTGCTCTGCAGTGGTACTACCCCTGCTACCCTTGGACTAATGAAGGAGTAAAGACCCTAAGTGCCTTATCCACACCTTCAACAAGCTGCAGTCAACCAAAGGAGAAGAGGTTAGTCTGTCTCCCACAGGTCCCACTCCCCCTGCTCATAACTGGGTAAGGAACTCCTAGCTCAGGCCTATAGCACAGATCTCCCCATCCTGGGATGATTGTTGCGTTGAGCAATTGCTGACCCACATCTCCCTGGGGTGGAGCCCCCAGGAGATAAGCAAAAGACCCTCAGCCACAACCACTAATAAACACCTTCCCTCTGTTGCCTCTAAGTTGGGGAGGCAACATAAACCCTGAGATCACCCCAGAGCTGTGGTGGGCATCCCGGAGTGCCAAGCCACAGTCTACAGCCAGCAGTCAAGTGGGAGAGGAGCCCATACTTTCAGAGCATTGAGAAGGAGCATGGCTGCAACTGTGAAGAAATATAGGAGAGCCATATGACTGATCAAGAGCCTACCAACTGACCAATATGCCTAAGTACCACCAGCTAATTCACACTTCAAAGTTTCAACACCAAAATTACCTCGCTAACACATTCCCCTGTGAAACCTAAGACAGGTCAGCTACAAATAAAGACCCTAGACAAAGCCTCAGCCCTATTAAAACATCCAGAAAAGAAGCCTATTGACTGTATTCAATCTATACTGCAGTTAAAAGAGCACACATGCACAGAGATGAGAAAGAACCAATGCAAGAACCCTAGCACCACAAATGGTCAGAGTGTCTTATGTCCTCCAAATAACTACACTAGTTCTCCAACAAGGGTTCTTAACCAGGCTGAGTTGGCTGAAATGATAGAAAGAGAATTTGGAATATGGACAGGACTGAAGATCATCGAGATTTAGGAGAATGGCAAAACCCAAACCAAAGAAACTAAGTATCACAATAAAAGCATACAGGATTTGGCAGATGAAATAGCCAGTATAAAAAAAGAACATAACTAATCTGATAAAGCCGAAAAACACACTACAATAATTTCACAATACAATCACAAGTATTAACAACAGAATAGACTAAGCTGAGGAAAGAATCTCAGAACTTGAAGACTGGCTGTCTGAAATAAGACAATCAGCCAAAAATAAAGAAAAAAAGAATGAAAAGAAGCAAACAAAATCTCTGAGAAATATGGGATTATGTAAAGAGACCAAATCTGTGAATCATTGGCATCCCTGGAAGGGATAGAAAAAAGCAAACAACTTGGAAAACATATGTTCACCCCTGAAAACTTTCCCCACCTGGCTAGAGAGACCAATAGTCAAATTTAGAGAACACAGAGAACCCCTGCAAGATTCTACACAAGATTATCTCCAAGATACATAATCATCAGATTTTCCAAGATTGAAATGAAAGGAAGAATTTAAAGGCAGCAGCCACAGAGAAAGGGCAGGTCACCTACAAAGGGAACCCCTTCAGACTAACAGTGGACCTCTCAGCAGAAACTATGAGCCAAAATAGATTGAGGACCTATATTCAACATTCCTGAAGAAAAAAATCTTCAACGAAAAAATTTATGTTCAGTCAAACTAAGTTTCCTAAGCAAAAGATAAATCCTTTTCAGATAAGCAAATACTGAGGGAGTTCATTACCATCAGACCTGCCTTACAAAAGATCTTAAAAGGAACACTAAATATGGAAAGAAAAGACCATTATCAGCCAATAAAAAGACATGCTTAAGTATATAGACCGGTGACACTATAAAGCAACCACACAAACAAGTTGGCATAACCAGTTAATAACACAACAACAGGATCAAATCCACACATATCTATACTCATCTTGAATGTAGATGGGCTAAATGCCCTATTTAAAAGGCAGAGTGGTAACCTGGATAAAAAAAGCAAGATCAAATGGTATATCTTTAAGAGACCCATCTCATACACAATGACACCCAAACTATGCATCTGACAAAGGTCTGATATCCAGCATCTATAAGGAACTTAAACAAATTTATGAGCCAAAACAATCTTGTTAAAAAGTGGGCAAAGGACACGGACACTTTTCAAAAGAAGACATACATGCAACCAACAGGCATGTATTTTTTTAAAAAGCTCAACCTTACTGATCACTAGAGAAATGCAAATCAAAACCACAATGAAATACTGTCTCATATCAGTCAGAAAGGCTATGAGTAAAAAGTCAAAAAATAACAAATGCTGGTGAGGCTGAAGAGAAAAGGGAACACTTATACATTGTTGGTGGGAGTGTAAGTGTTAGTTCAACCATTGTGAAAAGCAGAGTGGTGATTCCTCAAAGAGCTGAAAACAAAACTATCACTGAACCCAGCAATCCAATTACTGGGTATATACCAAAAATATATATATAAATCATTCTACCATAAAGATGAATGTTCATTGCAGCACTTTTCACAATAGTGAAGACATGGAATCAACCTCAATGCCCATCAATGACAGATTGGATAAAGAAAATTTGGTACATGTACATCATGGAATACTAGGCAGCCATAAAATTAGATGAAGTCATTTCTTTCACAGGAACATGGATAGAGCTGGAGGCCATTATCCTTAGTAAACTAAAGCAGGAACAGAAAACAAAATACCATGTGTTCTCACTTATAAATGGGAGCTAAATGGTGAGAACTCATGGACACAAAGGGGAAAAACAGACACTGGGACCTACTTGAGGGTGGAGGGTGGGAAGAGGGAGAGCATCAGAAAAAATAACTATTGGGTACTAGGCTTAGTACTTGGGTGATGAAACAATTTGTACAACAAAACTCTGTGACATAAGTTTACTTATCAAAAAATCTTGCACATGTACCCCTGCACCTAAAAGTTTAAAAAATAATAAATAAATAAATAAATAACTAAATAAGTAAAGTACTACTTCTACCCAAATGCTTCAAAAAAGAAATGAAGACAAATAAATATTTCCAAACCCATTCTACAATTCCAGTGATATGGTTTGGCTGTGTCACCACCCAAATCTCATCTTGAATTGTAGCTCCCATAATCCCCATGTGTCATGGGAGGGACCCAGTTGGAGGTAATTGAATCAGGGGAGTGGGTTTCTCCCATCCTGTTTTCATGATAGTGAATAAGTCTCATGAGACCTGATAGTTTTATAAAGGGCAGTTCCCCTGCACAAGCTCTCTTGCCTGCCTCCATGTAAGATGTACCTTTGCTCCTCCTTTGCCTTCTACCATGATTGTGAGGCCTCCCTAGCCATGTGGAACTGTGAGTCCATTAAACCTCTTTTTTTTTCTTAAATAAATTATCCAGTCCCAGGTATTTCTTCATAGCAGTATGAAAATGAATTAATACAGTAAATTGGTACCACAGAAAGTGGGGTGCTGCTGTAAAGATACCTGAAAATGTGGAAATGACTTTGTAACTGGGTAACAGGCAGAGGTTGGAACCATTTGGAGGGCTCAGAAGAAGACAGGAAAATGAGGGAAAGTTTGGAACTCCCTAGAGACTTAGAGGGCTCAGAAGACAGGAAGACGTGGGAGAATTTGGAATTTCCTGGAAGCTGAGGTGGTCTCAGATGGAGATGAGAAGCTTGTTGGGAACTAGAGCAAAGATGACTCTTGTTATGCTTTAACAAAGAGACTGGCAGCATATTGCCCCTGCCCTAGAAATCTGTGGAACTTTGAACTAGAGAGAGACAATTTAAGATATGTGAAAGAAGAAATTTCTAAGCGGAAAGTGTTCAAGAGGAAACAGAGGGTAAAACTGGAAAATTTGCAGCCTGAAGATATGATAGAAAAGAAAAACCCATTTTCTGGGGAAAATTCAAGCCTGCTGCAGAAATTTGCATAAGTGACAAGGAGCCCAGTGATAATGACCAAGACAATTGGGAAAATGTCTCCAGGGCATGTCAGAGACCTTCAGAGCAGCCCTTCACATCACAGTCCTGGAGGCCTGGGAGGGAAAAATGATTTCATGGGCTGGACTCAGGGCACCCCTGCCAGGCCCAGTGCCCCCTTGCTCTATGCAGCCTTGGGACACATTACCCTGCATCCCAGCTGCTTCGACTCCAACTGTGGCTAAAAGGGGCCAAGGTACAGTTCAGGCCATGGCTTCAGAGGATGAAAGTCCCAAGCCCTGGAAGCTTACACATGGTATTGAGCTTGTGAGTTCACAGAAGTCAAGAATTGAAGTTTGGGAACCTCTACCTAGATTTCAGAGGATGTACAAAAACGCTTGGATGTCCAGGAAGAAGTTTGCTGCAATGGCAAGGCAAGCCCTCATGGAAAACCTTTGCTAGGGCAGTGCAGAAGAGAAATGTAGGGTTGGAGCTCCCACACAGAGTCCCCACCATGGCACTGCCTAGTGGAGCTGTGAGAAGAGGGCCACTATCCTCCAGATCGCAGAATGGTGGATCCACCAACAGCTTGCACCTTGCACCTGGAAAAGCCATGGACACTGAATGCCAACCCATGAAAGCATCTGGGAAGAGAGGCTACACCCTGCAAAGCCACAGGGGCAAAGCTGCCCAAGACTATGGGAGCCCACCTCTTGCATCAGCATACCCTGGAGTCATGAGACATGAGTCAAAGGAAATCATTTTGGAGCTTTAAGATTTGGCTGCCACTCTGGATTTTGGACTTGCATGGGGCCCATAGCTCCTTTGTTTTGACCAATTTCCCCCATTTGGAATGGGTGTATTTAACCAGTGCCTGTACCCCCATTGTTTCTAGGAAATAACTTACTTGCTTTTGATTTTACAGTCTCATAGGTGGAAAGGACTTGCCTTGTCTAGATCAGACTTTGGACTGTGGACTTTGGAGTTAATGCTGAAAGAAGTTAAGTCTTTGGGGGACTGTTAGGAAGGTATGATTGGTTTTGAAATGTGAGAACATGAGATTTGGGAGGAGCCAGGAGCAGAATAATATGGTTTGGCTGTGTCCCCACCGAAATCTCATATTAAATGTAGCTCCCATAATCCCCACCTGTTGTGGGAGAGGCCTGGTGGAAGGTAATTAAATTATGGGGCAGGTTTTTCCCATGCTGTTCCCATGATAGTGAATAAATTTCATGAGATCTGATGGTTTTATAAAGGGCAGCTTCCCTACACTCACATTCTTGCCTGCTGCCATGTAAGACATGCCTTTGCTCCTAATTTGCCTTCTTCCATGATTGTAAGGCCTCCCCAGCCATGTGGAACTGTGAGTCCATTAAACCTCTTTTTCTTTATAAATTTCCCATATCGGGTATTTCTTCATAGCAGCATAATAATGGTCTAATGTGATGGTTAAGAATGAGTGTCAACTTGATTGGATTGAAGGATGCAAAGTATTTATCCTGGGTGTGTCTATGACGGTGTTGCCAAAGGAGATCAACATTTGAGTCAGTGTTCTGAGGAAGGCAAATCCACCCTTAATCTGGTGGACACAATCTAATCAGCAGCCAGTGAATATAAAGCAGGCAGAAAAACGTGAAAAGGCAAGACTGGCCTAGCCTCCCAGCCTACAGCTTTCTCCCATGCTGGATGCTTCCTGCCCTCAAACATCAGACTCCAAGTTCTTCAGTTTGGGGACTCAAACTGGCTCTACTTTTTCCTCAAGCTTGCAGACAGCCTACTATGGAACTCTGTGATTGTGTAAGTTAATACCTAATACTTAATAAGCTCCCCTTGATATATATATCCTATTAGTTCTGTCCCTCTAGGGAATCCTTACTGGTACAGATTTTGGTACCAGGAGTGGTTCTAGAGGAACAGAATATTAAAGCTGGAGTTCTTCCATTGGTTTGGGGTTTCTGGAGTTGGCTGCTTAATATGATTAGACCCAAAAATGCTGAGGACTTTACTTCTAATAGTATGGAGAACACTGATAGTCCTTGATATAAAGTGTTTAAAGAGTTATGCAAAATAAATAAATTTGACACTCCTGATTCACCACTCAGGAGAGGCCAGGAGCTTAGTGAATATATACATAATATCTTTGACCATATGTGGAGAATCGAGGAAAATAATGAAGCTGGTTGGTTGTTCCTAAGTTCAGTGCACAAATTGATGAAAGAAAATGATGACTCAGGGATTCTGTCTCCTGGCTTGAAATACAAATACTGATCCTAAAATCTGCTAAGATTGCCCTGAATGAGAGTCTTATCTCCTGTAGAGAAAGAGCTGAAGTTGTGGAGAAACAGACAGAAGCTCTTATCATGTGAGTGGCTGACATGCAATGAAACTTGCATACACAGCCTTGCCAGGTGTCTACTGTTAAAATGAGGACATTGGTTGGAAAAGAATGGGACACTGCAACTTGGGATGGGGGCATGTGGGAAGACCCTGATGAAGCTGGGGACACTGAGTTTGTAAACTCTGATGAACCTCTTTTGGCTGAAGAAACAGCTTCCCCATCCTCAATAATGGCAACATCCCCTCCCTGACTTATGCTGCCATCAGCCTTTCCACCTTAGTCTGAGGAGATAAACCCTGTGCTGCCTGAGGCAGAAATGATGGCCTCCCCTGAGGCAGTTGCCAGGCAAAATAATGTTGATTCTCCTCAGGAGCCACCCCGATCACCCTGGTAGGCTTCTAGACCTATAACTAGACTAAAGTCTCGGTGGGCCCATACACGTGAGGTTGAGTGTGACCCATGAGAAGATGCACTACACTTGAAAAGAACTGCTTGAGTTTTCTAATTTATATAAACAGAAATCTAGATAACAGGCATGGGAATGGATATTAAAGGTATGGGATAATTGTGGAAGGAACATAAAGTTGGATCAGGCTGAATTTATTGATTTGGGCCCACTAAGTAGGGACTCTGCATTTAATGTTGCAGCTTGAGGAGTTAAACAAGATGCTAATAGTTCATTAGCTTTGTTAACTGAAATATGGATTAAAAGATGGCCCACTCTGAGGTGCTGGAAATGCCTGATCTCCCTTGGTTTAATGTAGAGGAAGGGATCCAAAGGCTTAGGGAGATTGGGATGGTGGAGTGGATTAGTCACTTTAAACCTACTCATCCCAGCTGGGAGTGTCCAGAAGATATACCCTTGACCAATGTCATGCAAAATAGATTTGTGATGGCAGGACCTGCATTTCTGAAGAGCCCTGTAATTGCTCTTCTCTGTATGTCAGATCTAACAGTGGACTCCACAGTCACTCAATTACAAAATTTAAATACAGTGGGAATAATTGGATCCCAAGGTGGCAGGGGCCATGTGGCAGCAGTTAACCATCAAAGGCAAGGTGAGAGTAACTACCATAATGGACAGCAGAGAAAAAGTAGCCATCAGAATAGTCTGACTCGTGTAGGGCTCTGGCATTGGGTAATTAATCATGGTATTCCTAGAAATGAAATTGATAGAAAGCCTACTGCCATTCCTACTTAACTTGTATAAGGAGAAAACTTCTAGGTTGAATGGACAAAAGACTAATTTGAATTATAAAAATAGAGAATCATGGCCCCTCAATCAATTTCCAGACTTGAGCCAGTTTATAGACCCAGAACCATTAAATGAAGGGGAGGCTGGCTCCCCGTGAGGAAGAACCCCACTAGATTACTGACAATTTATGCAGTGAATCTTTCTCCCATTCTTCCCCAAGGAGACCTCCGGCCTTTTACCAGGGTAACTGTGCATTGGAGAAAGGGAAATGATCAGACATTTTGGGGACTACTACACACTGGCTCTGAGCTGACCTTGATTCCAGGGAACCCAAAACATCATTGTGGTCCTCCAGTTAAAGTAGGGGCTTATGGAGGTCAGGTAATTAATGGAGTTTTATTTCAGGTCCAACTTACAGTGGGTCCAGCAGGTCCCTGGACTCATCCTGTGGTCATTTCCACGTTACCAGAATGCATAATTGGCATAGACATACTTAGCAGCTGGCAGAACCCACACATTGGCTCCCTGACTGGTAGGGTGAGGGCTATTATGGTGGGAAAGGCCAAATGGAAACCATTAGAGCAGCCTCTACCTAGACAAATAGTAAATAAAAAAATTGCATCCGTGGAGGGATTGTGGAGATTAGTGCCACCATCAAGGACTTGAATGATGCAGGGGTGGTGATTCCCAACAAATCCCTGTTCAACTCTCCTATTTGGCCAGTGCAAAAGACAGACAGATCCTGGAGAATGACAGTGGATTATCATAAGGTTAACCAAGGGGTGACTTTAATTGCAAATGTTGTACCAGATGTGGTTTCATTGCTTGAGCAAATTAACACATCTCCCAGTAACTGGTAGGCAGCCATCGACTTGGCAAATGCTTTTTTTCTCTGTTCTTGTCCATAAGGCCCACCAGAAGAAATTTGTCTTCAGCTGACAAGGTCAGCAATCTACCTTTACTGTCCTACCTCTGGGGTATATCAACTGTCTGGCTTTGTGTCACAATCTTATTCGGAGAGAACTTGATTGCTTTTCACTTCTACAAAATATCACACTAGTCGATTACATTGATGACATTATGCTGATTGGATCCAGTGAGCAAGAAGTAGCAAACACATGACTTATTGCTGAGGCATTTGCATGCCAGAGGATGGGAAATAAATCTGACTAAAATTCAGGGACCTTCTACCTCAGTAAAATTTCTAGAGGTCCAGTCATGTGGCTCGTGTCAAGATATTCCTTCTACAGTGAAGGAGAAGTTGCTGCATTTGGTCCCTCATACAACAAGAAACACGCAGAATGCCTAATGGACCTATTTGGATTTTGGAGGCAACACATTCCTCATCTGGATGTGTTATTCCAGCCCATTTATCGAGTTACCTGAAAGGCTGCCAGTTTTTAGTGGGGTCCAGAACAGGACAAGGCTCTGCAACAGGTCCAGGCTGCTGTGTAAGTTGCTCTGCCTCTTAGGCCATATGATTCAGCAGATCCAATGGTGCTTGAGGTGTCAGTGGCAGATAGGGATGCTGTTTGGAGCCTTTGGCAGGCCCCCATAGGTGAATCACAATGGAGGCCTCTAGGATTTTGGAGCAAGGTCCTACCATCTTCTGCAGATAACTACTCTTCTTTTGAGAGGAAGCTCTTGGCCTGTTACTGGGTTTTGGTGGAAACTGAACGCTTGACTATGGGTCATCAAGTTACCATACAACTTGAACTGCCTATCATGAACTGGGTGCTTTCTGACCCATCTAGCCATAAAGTGGGTCATACACCGCAGCATTCCATCATCAAATGGAAGTGGTATATATGTGATTGGGCTCAAGCAGGTCCTGAAGGCAAAAGTAAGTTACATGAGGAAGTGGCTTGGTCAAATGCCCATGGTCTGCATTCCTCCCACCCTGCCTTCTCTCGCCCGGCCTGCACCAGTGGCCTCATGGGAGTTCCCTATGATCAGTTGACAGAGGAAGAGAAGACTAGGGCCTGGTTCACAGATGGTTCTACATGATATGCAGGCACCTGAAAATGGACTGCTGCAGCACTACAGCCCCTGTCTAGGACATCCCTGAACAGCGGTGAAGGGAAATCTTCCCAGTGGGCAGAACTTCGAGCAGTGCACCTGGTTGTGCACATTGCATGGAGGGAGAAATGGCCATATGTGCGATTACATATTGATTCATGGGCTGTTGCCAATGGTTTGGCTAGATGTCAGGGACTTGGAAGAAGCATGATTGGAAATTGGTAACAAAGAAATTTGGAAAAGAGGTATGTGGATGGACCTCTCTGAATGGTCAAAAACTGTGGAGATATTTGTATCCAGTGTGAGTGTTCACCATCAGGTGACCCCAGCAGAGGATATTAATAATCAATTGGATAGGATGACCCATTCTGTGGACACCACTCAGCCTCTTTCCCCAGACAGCCCTGATATCCCCCTATAGACCTATGAACAAAGTGGCCATGGTGGCAGGAATGGAGGTTATGCATGGGCTCAGCAATATGGACTTCCACTCACAAGGCTGACCTGGCTATGGCCACTGCTGAGTGCCCAATTTGCCAGCAGCAAAGACCAACACTGAGCTCTCAATATGGCACCATTCCTTGGGGTAATCAACCAGCTACCTGGTGGCAGGTTGAATATATTGGACCCCTTCCATCATGGAAAGAGCAGAAGTTTGCTCTCACTGGAATAGACACTTACTCCGGATCTGGGTTTGCTATCTTACACACAATGCTTCTGCCAAGACTACCATCTGTGGACTCACAGAATGCTTTATCCACTGTCATGGTATTCCACACAGCATTGCCTCTAACCAAGACACTCACTTTATGGCTAAAGCAGTGCAGCAGTGGGCTCATGCTCATGGAATTCACTGGGTTTACCATGTTTCCCATCATCCGGAAGCAGCTAGATTGATAGAAGGATGGAATGGCCTTCTGAAGTCACAATTACAATGCTAACTAGGTAACAATACTTTGAAGGGCTGGGGCAAAGTTCTCCAGAAGGCCATGTATGCCCTGAATTAACATCCAATACATGGTACTGTTTCTCCCATAGTCAGGATTCGTGGGTCTAGAAATCAAGGGATGGAAGTGGAAGTGGCAACACTCATCATCATCCTTAGTGATCCACTAGCAAAATTTTTGCTTCCTGTTCCCACAGCATTAAGTTCAGCTGGCCTAGAGGTCTTAGTTCCAGAGGGAGGAACACTGCCACCAGGAGACACAACAATGATTCCATTAAACTGGAAGTTAAGATTGCCACCTGGACAGTTTTGGCTTCTCCTACCTTTAAGTCAACAGTCTAAGAAGGGTGTTACAGTGTTGGCTGGGGTGGCTGACCCAGACTATCAAGGTGAAATCAGTCTACTACTCTATAACAGAGGTAAGGAAGAGTATGCATGGAATACAGAAGATCCATTAGGGAGTTTCTTAGTATTACTATGCCTTGTGATTAAGGTCAGTGGGAAGCAACAACAGCCCAATCCAGGCAGAACTACAAATGGTCCAGACCCCTCAGGAATGAAGGTTTGGGTCAGTCCATCAGGAAAAACAAAACAAAACAAAACAAAAAACCACAACCTGCTGAGGTGCTTACTGAAGGCAAAGAGAATACAGAATGGGTAGTAGAGGAATGTAGTCATCAATACCAACTAATACCACGTGACCAGTTGCAGAAGTGAGGACTGTAACTGTCACGAGTATTTCTTCCTTCTTTTGTTAAAAACATGTTTGTGCATGTGTACACTTGTATAAGAAAATGTCTTCATTTTATTTCCTTTTCCTTTATCATGTGACATAAAATTTATTGACTTTATATTAGCATTTAAGTATTGTTAACTTTATGTAATAGTATTTGGGTTGGGGATTGGTGTGTTTCTGGTTGTACTAAGGATAGTTGTATTATATTAGGTATAATTATGAGCTTATTATTGTCTTTATTTGAAGATTATATATGATCTCAGGAGATGTGTATGGGTTCAGGTTGACAAGGGGTGGACTTGTGATGGTTAATACTGAGTGTCAACTTGATTGGATTGAAGGATGCAAAGTATTGACTCTGGGTGTGTCTGTGAGGGTGTTGCCAAAGGAGATTAACATTTGAGTCAGTGGGCTGGGGAAAACAGACCCACCCTTAATCTTGTGGGCACAATCTAATCAGTGGCCAGCAGGCAGAAAAACGTGAAAGGATGGACTGGCATGGCCTCCCAGCCTACATCTTTCTGCCAGGCTGGATGCTTCCTACCTTTAAACATCCAACTACAAGTTCTTCAGTTCTGAGACGCAGACTGGCTCTCTTTGCTCTTTAAGCTTGCAGACTGCCTATGGTGGGACCTTGTGATCATGTAAGTTAATACTTAATTAACTCATATGTGTATATATATATATATATACACACACACATATACATACAGCTACACACACACGTATACATCTTCTATCAGTTCTGTCCTTCTCAGTAACCCTAACACAACTAACACAGCCAGCATTATAATGATACTCAAACCAGACAAAGACACAATAAAGAAAAGAAAACTACAGGCCAAAATCACTGATGAACATATATGCAAAAATCCTCAACAAAATACTAGTAAATCTAATTCAATAACATGTGAAAAAGATCATTCACCATGAACAAATACGATGCAAAGACATCATATTTTTGCATCTAGGGATGCAAAGACATTTCAACATACATAAATCAAATATAAAATCTATTTATTTCAATAGATGCTAGAAATGCATTTGATACAATTTGGCATCTCTTTATGATAAAAACCTGCATCAAAATGGGTAAAAAATTGATATTTCTCAAAATAATAAAGACTATATATGACAAACCCACAGCAAACGTCATACTAAAGACGCAGAAATTGAAAGCCTTTTTTGTAAGGACTGGAACAAAACAAGGAGTCCCACTCCCACCATTGTTATTCAACATAATACTGGAAGTCCCAGCCAGAGCGATTAGGCGATGAAAAAACAACAAAGGGCATTGAAATTGGAAAGGAAGAAGTCAAACTAGCTTTCTTCACAGACAACATAGAACCTAGAAAAATATAAAAATGCCACCAAAAAACTGGTAAAGCTGATAAATGAATCCAATAAACTTGTAGGATGAAAAAATCAACATAAAAATCAATAGCATTGATATATGCAAACAGCAAAGAATCTGAAAAAGAAATCAAGAAAGCAATTTCATTTACAACAGCTACAAAAAATGTAAAATACTTAGGAGTCAATATAACTAAAGAAGTAAAAGATCTATGCAAGGAAAGCTATAAAACACTGATGAAAGAAATTGAAGAGGACACAAAAATATGAAAAGATATTCCAAGTTCACGGATTGCAGAAATTGATATTTTAAAATGATAATACTACCCAAAGCAGTTTACATATTCAATGAAATCTCTTTCAAAATATAAATGACATTCTTCACAAAAATAGAAAGAAAAATCCTAAAATTTATATGGAATGACCAAAGACTTCAAATATCCAAAGAAATTCTGAACAAAAAAGATAAAGCTGAAGGCATACTACCTCACTTCAAAATTTACTACAAAGTTATAGTAACCAAAATACCAAAACAGGAGAGTACTGGCACAAAAGCAGACAAATATACCAATGAAACAAAATTGAGACTCCAGATATAAAGTCATGCATTTATAGCCGACTCATCTTTAATAAGGGTGCCAAGGATGGGAGCAAACAGTCTTCAATAAATGGTGCTGAGAAAACACATGCAGAAGAATGAAACTAGACCCTCTTTCTCATTCTACACAAAAATAAAATCACATTCGATTAAAGACTTAAATCTAAAACCTCAAACTATGAAACTACTGGAAGAAAACATTGGAGAAATGATCTAGGACATTAATCCAGGCAAAGACTTTTTGTGTAAGACCTCAGGCCGGACACGGTGGCTCACGCCTATAATCCCAGCACTTGGGAGGCCAAGGTGGGCAGATCACCTGAGGTCAAGAGTTTGGGACTAGCCTGACCGACATGAGAAAACCCTGTCTCTACTAAAAAAATACAAAATTAGCCGGGTGTGGTGGTGCATGACTGTAATCCCAGCTACTTGGGAGGCTGAGGCAGGAGAATCGCTTGAACCCCGGGGGCGGAGGTTGAGGTGAGCCGAGATCGTGCCATTGCACTCCAGCCTGGGCAACAAGAGCGAAACTCCGTCTCAAAAAAAAAAAAAAAAAAAAAACCTCAAAAGCACAAGCAACCAAAGCAAAAATAGACAAATAGGATTACATCAAGCTAAACAGCTTCTGTACCACAAAGGAAACAATCAACAAAGTGAAAAGAAAACCCACAGAATGGGAGAAAGTATTCACAGAATGGAAAGTATAACTATCCATCTGATAAGGGATTAATAGCCAGAATATATAGAGAGAAGAACTCAAAAAACTCAATAGCAAAAAATTTCAAAAAAAGAATTAACACTAAATAATCTGATTTTTTAAATAGATGAAAGATCTGAACAAACATTTCTCAAAAGAAGACATACAAACAACAATAGATAAAGGAAAAACTGCTCAACATCACCAGTCAGAGAAATGCAAATCAAAGCCACAATGAGATATCATCTCATCCCTGTTAGAATACCTATTATTAAAATGACAAAACAAAACAGATGCTAGTGAGGATGTGGAGAAAAAAAGAACACATACACTGTTGGTGAGAATATAAATTTGTACAGCAACTATGGAGAATCTCATGAAGATTCCTCAAAAAACTAAAAATTGCACTATTATATGATCAAGCAATTCCAATAGTGGTTTTATATCCAAAAGAAAGGAAATCAATATATCAAAGGGATATCTGCACTCTCATGTTTGTTGCAGCACTTTTCACAAGAGCCAAGATATAGAATCAACCTAAGCATTCATCAATGGATGAATAAGGAAAATTTAGTACATCTATATGATGGAATATTATTCAACCATAAAAAGAATGAAATGCTGTCATTTGTAGCAACATGAATTAATCCAGTGGCCATTATATTAGGTGAAATAAGCCCGCCCAGAGAGACAAATATTGCATGTTCTCACTCATATATGGGAGCTTAAAAAATGGATCTCATGGCCGGGCATGGTGACTCATGCCTGTAATCCCAGCACTTTGGGAGGCCGAGGCAGGTGGATCACGAGGTCAAGAGATGGAGACCATTCTGGCTAACATGGTGAAACCCATCTCTACTAAAAATACAAAAATTAGCCGGGCATGGTGGCACGTGCCTGTAGTCCCAGCTACTCAGGAGGCTAAGGCAGGAGAATCGCTTGAACCCGGGAGGCAGAGGTTGCAGTGAGCCAAGATCGCGCCACTGCACTCCAGCCTGGGTGACAGAGCCAGACTCTATCTCAAAAAATAAATAAATAAAATAAAATAAAGGATCTCATAAAAAGAGAGTAGAATGGGGGTAGGGTGCCAGAGGTCAGAAATGGTACAAGGAAGGGAGGGATGAAGGGAGGAAGAAAAGAATATAAATGTACTTATTACCACTGAACTATACACTTAGAAATGGTGAAGATAAATTTTATATGTATATTCCACCTCAATTAAACAAAGTGTAAAAAAGGAAGAAAACAGAAAAAAGTTGAATGTTCTGACTATATACTGGGTGAAGTTAAAAGATAATCTAAGCCATAGTTGCTGGCCACTAATAATTGAAGTTAAAAGACTAAAATACATTTTTACAACTTAAAATCACTTTCTTAAAAGGTTTTTGAGTGAATAGATCAAAAATGCAATTCCGTAATAGTTAAATAATTATGTATCAAAGGTCAAAAGCTTAAACCAAAGCTTTACTCAGGGGCAAATTCAGTCTTAAAAACTTCTATTTATTACTGGATAGGAAAGTAAGAAAATAAAGAAAAATTTCTTTAAGTGCAAAAAGTTAAGAAATAAGCAGCAAAACCAGCTTAAGGAAAGAAGGAAAAAGGAAGTAATTAAAATCAAAATTAAAATTAAAGTATAATTAATATATTAAAATGCTTTGTAAAAAATGTATTTTATTAACATAAAGGCTAAATGTTGGACAGAGAGAATCTAAATAAAGCAATAACTATTTTAATTAAGAAGTATGGTAATCCTTCAAAGAGCTAAAAGCAGAACTACCCTTCAACCCAGCAATCTCATTACTAGTTGTATACCCAGAGGAATATAAAGCATTCTACCATAAAGACGAATGCACATGAATGTTCATTGCAGCCCTGTTCACAATAGCAAAGACATGGATTCAACTTCAATGCCTATCAATGACAGACTGGCTGAAGGAAATGTGGTACATATACACCATGGAATATTATTCATCCATAAAAAAAGAATGAGATCACATATTTTGCAGAAACATGGATGGAGCTGGAGTCTATCATTCTTAGCAAACTAATGCAGGAACAGAAAAGCAAATACTGTTTGTTCTCCCTCATAAGTAGGAGCCAAATGATAAGAATTTATGAACACAAAGAAGGAAAAAACAGACACTGGGACATACTTGAGGGAGGCGTATGGAAGGAAGGAGAGGAGCAGAAACAATAACTATTGGGTACTGAGCTTGATAATATGTAAAACAAACCCTTGTGATCTTGTGTTTGTGTAGCAAACCTTCACATGTACCCCAAAGCTAAAATAAAAATTTTAAAAAAAGGAATATGGAGCAAATGATTTCCATGCTTTAAAAACTGCTGCAGATGATTACAAAAGATTAAAAATTTCCCATTCTTTGTTAAGTGGGGTTTACTCTTTACCCATAAATATGAAAACAAACACCTCTCTATCTTTTCCTCTTCATTTCTCTCTCCTTTTCTCTCCCTCTCTCTTCCTTCCTACACATCCCCCACACATGCATATTGAGGAAAAGCACAATAAGTAAAACCAATTCATAGTATTTTTACAGATAAGGAAACAAGTCAAAGGTAATTAGGTGCCTTGTATATGATCATAGAGTCACACGGCTGAAACAAGATCTCTCTCCCTATGGCTTCTCTGCATTAATGGTTCCCTACATGTACTGACTACATAGTCAGAGTTAGGAAATTGATCTGATTATTTGATGTGATTAGCATATCAAATTCTGAATTCTTTGGTTATCAAATATATTCTGAACCCAAGAGGGACTCAAGTATATTAGCAAAAATTTTTTAGATAGTAATAGAGCTTTTAAGTATACATCCACAGTTACCATCTATTAATCTTCATATTCTACCTCTTTACCCAAAAGTTTTTTTTTTTTTTTGTAGGTTAATTTTTTTTTCATTTTTTTTTTTTTACATTAATTTCTGGGATATATATGCAGAACGTGCAGGTTTGTTACATAGGTGTACATGTGCCATGGTGGCTTGCTGCACCTATTGACCTATATTCTAAATTCTCTCCCCTCACCTGCCACCCCCCAACAGGCCCTGGTGTGTGTTGTTCCCCTCCCTGTGTCCATCTGTTCCCCATGTTCATCTCCCACTTATGAGTGAGAACATGCAGGGTTTGGTTTTCTGTTCCTGTGTTAGTTTGCTGAGGATGATGGCTTCCAGCTTAATTCATGTCCTTGCAAAGGACATATCTCATTCCTTTTTTATGGCTGCATAGTATTCCATGGTGTATATGTACCACATTTTCTTTATCCAGTCTATCATTGATGGGCATTCTCTCTACCCAAAAGTTTTAACCAGAATATATACCTATGTTCATATACCAGAACATTTACTATGTTTTCAGACATCTGAAGATCCCATAACTATGAGTCCCTTTGCTCAAGTTTTATCCGTTGATTACTTGAAGTTTGCCCTCTAATGCTTTCTTCAAAAACAATTTATTTGGACAATATTTCTTAAGTTTTTGCATATTCAAAACCGTTTTGCAGTAGCCTTTATACTTGAAGTAAACTTGATTGGATATAAAACCATTAGCTTTGCATATTCTTTCACTGGACCCTTGCAGCATGTTACTAGCCAATCTTTATCTTTGGAGTCTTGTAATTCTAAGTTATGTCTCTATGTGGATCATTCTGGGCCAGTTTTTATTTGGCCCTTCAATTTGAAATGTAAGTCATTTTGCTTGTCTAAAGAAAGTATTTGGGATAGTTTTAAATAGTTGTTCTATCCTATTGTTTTGATTTTCTTTTTCTGGGACTTAAATTATACAGTTTTTGGATCTCCTTTGGCTGATTTATATATCTATGGTTTTTCCTATAATTCATTTTTATCTCTTTATTTTAACTTCATTTTGTTCTTTCTTTTTGTATTTGTATCTTCTCTTTGTGTGTTTCTGTTTCCCCTATGTTCTTAGTAATTAGTCTCTATTTCTGAAAATTTTATCTTTTTCTTCAATTCCCCTGCCAAGTTCTTCCAGTTATAGTTTCAGACCTTCCTTTTGTCTTATCATCACCTCCCTGAGATCTTGTACTTCTGTTATGTGAATTTTTCTTTATGGCTCCATTATTTTCTTTTTTGGATTCATGTTGTTATGTTGGCTACAGTTTTCATCTGCTTTACTCAACAATTTTCTGATACATTTTTATAATTAGCAGAAAAAATATGCTGCCTCTTTTTCGTATTTTAATATTTTTGTATGAATACCATAAATATTTCTTTCTTGTTACTTGAATAAGTTAAAATTTCCTTGAGTTAGAAAAATATTAAGAAGGACCAGGATAACTTTCCAAGTTACACCTGTTAAGAATCTCCTGAGCAAACGGCTGTTTCTTCCTTATATGGTGCTTCTGTAAAGACATGTTTCCACTGCCTCTTAGAATCTAACCTGGCTCTGGAAAACTTCTACTGCCAACCCTCAGTTCTTTTTGGTTTCTTTCTAGGTTGTAGTCATAAGCAAATAGTTTTTCTTTTAAAGGGCTTTTTTATTTCCCCCTTACTGTAACTTTCTATACTCTTTCTCCATGAACCCAAGACATCATGACCTGTGCGATCTCAGACCTGCGCAATCTCAGATAATGCTCAGGTAGGGCATTATCTTTCTGGAATTAAATATTTGCTGTAAATGTATGAGATCTGCTACAGCTGAGTCTCCCCTGTGCTCATTTTTCTTGTCCAGAGCCCTGTCACAACTTCCTATGTGGGCCTAAGGTCAGCAAAGTTGTTTTCGATACCTTTTCAAATAGTTTTGAGTTTGGTCATCTTGATTCATAGAACACATAGGTTGTTGATTTTATTTGTTTGTTCTATGAGGTTTCAAGAAGGAAAAAATAAGAAGATTAACAACCATACTATTACGTTTAAGAGGAACTGAAAATCTCTCAGTTTTGTTACTTATAATTCTCCAACAAAATCAATTTTTTCTTTTCTAGAATCAACTTAGTAAACAATGTTATCTTCTGACAGCAAATTATCTCACATACTAGAATTTAATAAATCAAAATAAGTTTTAGCATGCTATGAAGTATACTTGTTTCACTGTGTTATGGATCGAATTGTTTCCCCTTGAACTTCATATATTAAAGCCTTAATTCACAGTATTGCAGAATGTAACTGTACTTGGAGATAAAATATTTTAACAGGTGATTTAGTTAAAATGGAGTCACTGGGGTGGGTCCTAATCCAATCTGACTAGTGTCCTCATAAGAAGAGGAAATTTTGGCACAGAAAGATACACCAGGGATGTACATACACAGAGGAAAGGTCATGTGAGGACATAGCAAGCCAAGCAGAGAGGCCTTTGAAGAAATCAAGCCTACCAATACCTTGATCTTGGACTTCTAGAGTCCAGAACTATAAGAAAATATTTCTATTGTTTAAGCCACAAAGTTTGTTGTGTTTTGTTATGGCTGCCCTAGCAAACTAATGTGTACTGTTAACACTGAATATTTTCACTGAGAAAGAGTAAGCACACATCTCTAGTACCCAAGGGAGAAAATGGGGGAGGTTTACTATTATGAGTGGGGGTAAGAGGATTTGAATTCCTATCCTCAGAGTACATGAATATACCCCATATTTAGCTGCAGTTTTTGTTGTTGTATGATTATTTCAAAATGATTTTATTCCTGTATAAATAGTTCTTCAATTAATGCGTTCACCAGCCATAAAAAAATGCTTATTTTTTTCTATTTTTTCCCACTTTGCCATTTTTTCCTTCTTTCCATCAGAATATTTCTTTTTTCAATGACTAATATTCCATTATCTTCTGCATACATACTACTTGTACCTTATCAAAAGACCATCATGAGGATTTTCTGGACAACAGCAAAATGCTGGGGTTTTTTTGGTGGGTTTTTTTTGTTGTTGTTGTTTTTTGGTATTGGCACACATGTTGATGTTCCCACATAGCTGATTAGGGGTTAGAGGTTGCAGGTAAAGCTGTTTAGACATGTAGAAGCCACAGGTCATGTGCACTGGCATGTATAACCCAATGCCCTCCAGATGGTTCTAAAACACTTCCCACTCCAGAACTTCACCTTAGCTGTACCACAGCAATTCTTCCATTAAAAACCTAATTACCTTAAGAAATCTAAAGAATAGCTGAATTTGATTCTAATTCTGGTTTGAGAACTAATCAGATCTATACTGTAAATAGTCAATAAAATTGCCTTGTATGCCACACTTACAGTAACCCTAAAATGTTTATGATCATTGAATAAACACACTTTCCCTTAGAAACTACATTGATACACAGCAAGGTGTTTGGTTTACTTTCATTTTCAAAAGTGTATTTATTGTGTGTGATGTAAACTTGTATGTAATTTTTTATTTTTTCACATTTTACTAGAGATATTTTTGAAAAATAACATTGCTGTTTCAAGGCCATATCACTACAAAATCAATTTATTAAAAACACTTCTTTAAAATTGTTTAATGTTCTCTTTGTGGCAGTTTATAACTAAAAGTTAATTGATATTGTACAGATCTGAAACAAATTTTAATGGTTATAAAATCCATCAGCAAGTATTTTTGAACACTATTATGTGTTCAATGCTGGGCATTGCAAATGTATTTAAAATTATTATGTTGATTCATGTGAAATAGTGTAGCAGCCAATACTTGACCATATTTGAACTACAAAATGGCAATCTCTTTTGGTACAGCCCAATCCCAATAAAAAGCAAGTGCTCTCCTTTCCAAAGGCATGAAAGTTAATATTCCATAATCATATTTTATAGAATAATGTAATATCTTAAAAGGTGCTCACAAAATAAAGTATAAAGCTCCACCTTGACCAAAATTAAAGTAACACCTCAGTTACACAGCCATGGTATCACTTTAGATGCTAATAACCTTTATTGATTTTATTAAATTATTACAATTTTTTGAACGCTTTGTAAAATCTATTACATATATCATAACCTTAAAACATACAGAGTCACAAACATTTATTTTATGAAAATTTAAGGGTGTAATTCTCCATCCTAAACTGTGAGGCCCTTGGAGATAGGGAGTCTTATTTATCTTTGTTTCCCTAGACTTGTTTTGGAAATTGGGATATTATTACAACACCAATAGATATACTGCAACACAATTCTGATGCTAACCACCCAGAGTTAGCACAAACACCACAAGTTAAAGAGTATGGTTCCCAATGAGACTGCCCTTACTTAAGACATCAGCTACACTTTGGAGGTCCCCAAACCACCCACACTTCTCACCAACTAGCTACATAACCCTTTCAGGTTTCACAATTCACTAGAAGAACTGAAAGAACTCACAAAACTGTTACACATCTGAGTACAGCTTTATTTAAAAGGATACCAGCCAAATGAAGAGACATACAAGGTAAGGCCTGGGAGACTCCCAGATACAGTGCTTCCATGTCCCATCCCCATGAAATCAGAACATATCACCCTTCAAGTCTATCCATGTGTTCACCAACCAGGAAGCTTCACTGAGTTCCAGTGTCCAGATATTTTATTTGGTTAATCCACTACTTAGGCATGATTGAGTGAATCATTGTCCATGTGATTGAACTTAATCTTTAGGCTTCCTCTCCTCCCCGAAAGTTGGACTGACTCAAAGGCCAAACTCTCTCATCACTAAGTTGGTCTTTCTGGTGACCAGTCCCTATTCTGTTTCATCTCCCTAGTATAAATTCAGGTGTGATCCAAGGTGTTCATACATAACAAAGATACTTCTATTGTTGAGGAAATTCCAAGGATTTAGTCTTTCTTTCAGGAACCAGGGACAAAAATCAGTCAAATTCTTTATTATGCAACTAATGTACTATGTGCTTGTCAAGATTTATTGAAAAGACTACAGAATATGCATTTAATTCTTTAATTTCTTGTCATTTGTATATAGAGAGACTAAAATGAGTATCAATTTCATTATCTCCATCAGTCTTCTTGCATTTATCTTATCAGAATAAAAAACTAATATTAGCATATGTCACAATTTCATCTCAACAACTACACTTTCCCTTTCTCTGTGCTCCAATAACACATATTTTGTACTACTCATATAATACTTTTCAGATATTTTGGATAGTCATGCTTGTCTACTCTTTAAAATTGTTAATTTGATGTCAGTAAGTGTGACATAAAGCTTTGATTTCCACACAAAAGTATGCATTCAAATGTTTTTAATGTTTTATTGAATTTTGTGAATGTTGCTGTTAAAACACACACATACATATAAGCCAAGCTAAGTTTTCTCAAGAACATTTATATATGGATTCTATAGATTTGATTGATCACATTCACTTTCAGATTTCTTATAAATTATAGCTTTTGATTTTTGTGGTTATATAATCTGAGCACTCATCAAAAGACAGTAAAACAAAACCAATTTAAAAATGCTGGCTGGCTTACTAAAAACTTTGCTGGAGAGTTGGTTGTTTCCACTTATTTCAAAATTACACAAAAGCAACAGGGAGAAAGCTGAGCATGGTGGTGTACACCTACAGTCCCACCTACTTGGAAGGCTGAGGTGGGAGGATCACTTGAGCCCAGAAGTTAGATACCTGCCTAGGCAATATAGGAAGATCCTATCTCATCAAGAAAAGGCAACAAGGAGACCAACAAGATCAAGAAACAGAAATTAAATCTCTGTAGAAAATCTAGAAGACTATTGAAACTACAAACCACAAAACAGGTAGAAATTGTGCCCTAGAGCAATTAATATTTTTGTTGGGGAGGGTGGGTCAGGTCTAGACCTATGATTGCAATACTCAAAAAATGCTGGCTAAGAAAGGCTGCATAAGGGGCACACTCAGATAGTCAAACCCTAAATTCCTGTTTGCAACATCAGTTCCAAAATGAATGGGCTTAGCTGAAGATGTGGAAGCATCTCTGAACCCAGTTCTGTCTTGATAAATATAGAAAGAAGTGTTATAAAAGTAATCCTGCAGACAAGCTATATTTGCATGAATGGTCTAACCAAATGCTGGGGGAGAGTAATAACAGGGACTTTAGTGAAAACAATTTGTTTCTAATGGATTTTTAAAAGGCAAAGGATAAAAAAACCTCACACCCCAAACCATGGGCTTGAAGATTTTCTGCTATTTTATAACATGGTCCTTAGGACATACAAACTTTATGTACATGGCTAATTAAGGAAAAGTTTACTTTATTCATTCAAAAGTAAGTTGTTAATAAAAAAGAAAAACAGCACTGGTTGGCTCTATAGAATGACATTAGAAAAAAAAATAACTGGAGATAGAGAAATGATGAAAACACTCTACTACAGATATATTGCCACAGAGCAGATAAAAATCTTGACCAAATATTTTTAATGAGTTAGAATGACTATCTATAAAACAAGAACATAAAAGTTACATGAGCTCAGGAAAAGACTGTGGATCAATAAAGGCAGATGACATGTGAGCTGTCAGAACTCAGAAAATAAGTAGAAGATACAAAGGAAACCAACTCCAAAATGAAGGCCAAATGGAAAGTGCACAGAGAAGAGATTCTGATGAAAGCAAGAAAGATAAATAGAAAACAAAAATAAGAAAATCGAAAGGAACGATATTGAAACAAAAACATAATTTAAAAGGATTAGAGATATAGCAAATGGACTAAAATATACATATTATTAAAATTTCTGAAGAAAAAAACTAAAAATGAATAGAAATAACCACATAGTTATTTTCAAACAAAAACAGACTGAGACTCATAAAATTATTGAATTATAACTAATCATACATTTTATATACATAAATACAAACAGGTCTAGGTTTTCGTTAAGAGAAAAGGACTTTTACATTGGATCATAAAGCAAATCCAATTCTGTGCTATATAAAATTGTCATATCTGAAACCATAGAAAACAATATATTTCAGAAATTGTGGAAATAAAAGAATATATTCTAGACAAATTCAAACAAAAAGAATCAGGGTCATGATCTTAATAAAGTTCACATCACCTGCATGACCCCCTTTGAGGTTTTTGGAGTGTACCCAGCAATGGGTTCACATAGTCATTAGTATTAATATTTATAAAAATTGCTAAATAAGCTATTTTAATCATAATCCTTCTACTGACTATTGTCTCTCCAAGTCACCTTCTCTCATATTATCCAGTGTCAGATAACATTAGATTTACTAACTATGGGTGATTGTAGGATCTAGTTACAGAGAAGTTTATCAGGTGAACCCGCCCCCGATATTTCAATGTAGGTTCTCTTCTGTTTTCCCTAAGTGTCGACTGGTCTGAGAAATAAAGGGAAAGGAGTACAAAAAAGAGAAATTTTAAAGCTGGGTGTCCGGGGGAGACATCACATGTCGGCAGGTTCCGTGATGCCCCCTGAGCTGCAAAACCAGCAATTTTTTATTAGCAATTTTCAGAGGGAAGGGAGCGTATGAATAGGGTGTGGGTCACAGAGATCACTTGCTTCAAGGGCAACAAAAGATCACAAGGCAGAAGGTCAGGGTGAGATCACAAGGTCAGGGTGAAACTAGAATCACTAATGAACTTCCATGTCCCACTCTGCATGCATTGTCATTGATAGACATCTTAACAGGGTTCAAGAGCATAGAACCAGTCTGACTAGAATTCGCCAGGCTGGAATTTCCTAATCCTAGCAAGCCTGGGGGCGCTGCAGGAGGCCAGGGCATGTTTCATCTCTTATCTGCAAGTGCATAAGGCAGACACACCCAGAGAGGCCATTTTAGAGGCCCCCCCGGGAATGCATTCTTTTCCCAGGGCTGTTAATTATTAATATTCCTTACTGGGGAAAAAATTCAGCGATATTTCTCTTACCCATTTTCAATAATAAGAGAAATATGGCTCTGTTCCGCCTGGCCCACAGGCAGCCAGACTTTAAGGTTATCTCCCCTGTTCCCTGACAATCACTGTTATCTTGTTCTTAAGGTGCCCAGATTTCATATTGTTCAAACACACATGCTTTACAAAAAATCTGTGCAGTTAACGCAATCATCACAGGATCCTGAGGCGACATACATCCTCAGCTTACAAAGATGATGGGATTAAGAGATTAAAGTAAAGACAGGCATAGGAAATTATAAGAGTATTGATTGGGGAAGTGATAAATGTCCATGAAATCTCCACAATTTATGTTCTTCTGTCATGGCTTCAGCAGGTCCCTCCGTTCGGGATCCCTGACTTCCCAAAACAGAAGTTGAGTTGGAGCACCTTTAGTTTGCATATGGTTGGATATCCTAATTTTTTCCATTAGAGAAGTAATCCCTGGAATAGTACCACTGTCGCTTACCCTAATGCACCCAATATTATGGCACAGAGGTTCAGGACAAGAGGCCATGCAGCAAATAAGCAAGTCCTACAGCACTCATCACCAAAAGTGTGGGTAATGGAAAGAAAACAAGATTTAAAATGTAGAGAGTCACATATTATTCTGGTAAAATTCATAGGATCAGAGATATAAAATTATAAGCAAAATACCTGAGTCTCACTGATGCCTTGCCAAAATGGAATTTATGTATTGTTAGAACTATACTCGATTAGACAGAATATTTAATTATACATGCAGCTCTTTTTAATGTGGGACTTATGCAAAGCAAAATTTATCAGAAACTTTCTCTTTGTAGAGCTCAAAATTATAGCAGTATTAAAAATAGCACATCTATGAGAAGTCACATATTGTATGCACCTCAACTACCAACAAAAAACAAATTTTAATGTTTTTGGCTAAAAGAAAAACTGAGTAATTTTTGTATTAAAATATGAAATATTTATAAATATTTTTAAAACATGAAATATTTATAAATATATTTTTAAACATGAAATATTTTTAAATATTGTTAAAACATTGTTACAAGATGTTACCAAAGTGTATGTAGTCAAAAAATATACGAAAAATCTTTATAGAAGTGTCATATTAGTTTCCTGTTCCTGCTGTTACCAAATTACTAAAAATTGAGTGGCTTACAACAACACAAATTTATTATCTTAGAGTTCTGAACGTCAAAAGTTTAAAATAGGTCTTCAGGGCTGCCTTCCTCTGGAAAAGCTAGAGAAGAATGTGTTTTCTTGACCTTTTCAGCTACTAGAGGCAGTTATTCCTTGGTTTGTGTCCCCTTCCTCCATCTTCAAAACCAGCAGTAGCAGCCCGTCTCCTCTTCGACCCTGCTTCCACCCTCACATCTCTCCTTTTTATCTCTAACCCTCATGCCTTCCTCCTATAAAAACCTTGTAATTACACTTTTATAGGAGGAAGGTTCCAAGATTAGAATGTGGACATTTTGGGGGGACCATATTGCAGCCTACCATAGCTGTATTAGGCAATTAATTATGCATATATAATCAGAGATGTAAAATCATAAACAGAAGATTTTATATGTAATACATAAACAGAAGATATATATGTTAGCTATGTTTTGTGACTTTTTTTGGTAGTTGTCACCATTTTATAATTGATAATTTGTTCCTAATTCTAAATATATATTCATCTTCAACCCTAATTTTTAACTTGAAAATTTTATCACTTGAAAACATTGTCAAAAACCTGAATCCTAAACTTCAATATCATAATTTGGATTCAGTAAGTATGTAAAGTAGCAGTAATTCTTAGCTGCCCACCAAAATCTACTCTTCTTTTTCTTTAAAAAAAAAAAAAAATCCAAGATTGTACTTTCCAGCCTTCTTGTAGTTAGGTGTAGCAAAATGATTATCTTTTTCCAATAGAATATAAGCAGGCATGATGCGTGTTATTTCCAGGCCTGGCTCATAAAAACCTACCAGATGCACTCCCTTAGGTTCTCTTCTCTTGGCCAGGTAGATGGAAGTGACAGGAGGTGGGAGAGCCATGTGATGAAAGTAGCCTGTGTCCCTGAATGACCTCATGTGGGAGAGCCACCCCAACAACTATCTGCTTGGAATACTCACAAGAAATAAACTTATTGCTAGTAGCTAATTTACTAAACTGTTTTTATCATGGCCTAACCTATTCTGGCTAATATAAAAATTGGCACCACATTAAGTACTGCCACAGCTAAGAGCTTTGAAATGCGACAAAAATTACAGCAGGGGCCAAGCAGCAAGAAAATAGATACAGCAAACTAGAAGACTAGAGATCATGCCATGCCAACACATTTGGTAAAACCATTGCCTACAAAAAGTCGGACAGCAGAACAAACGTCCATGGAGTTTGTAATAAAACCCAGAAAAGACTGGAAAAAATTAGACTATTTAGTGTGTGTTAGTAATGATCATATTTAGCAAGATTACCAGAAAGAGATGAGATTAGGCCAAAATTGGATGGTTTCAAGCAGAAATTAAAGTGGATAGAGACAGAGCAGAGATTAAAATTATAGGGTTGAATAATTCAGCTTCCAGAGCCCAAGTATAATTGATAAATTTGGGGAAATGATTTCGTTTTAGGCTACTAGAAGCTTGTTAACTCTTCTTGGTTATACAAAAAGATTCAGTTCTTTGTTAAGTATTATTATCATGTATTATTTCATATGACCTCAAGATAGCCTCCACTGGTTAAGAGAGAGAGCTAGTAGCAAGAAAGCAAATAAGTAAGTGGATTTGAGAATATAAGTAGGTTATAGTTATAAGCAAAGAAAGAAAATAGATCATAAGTCTAGTGAGTTCTTGACAGAATTATATTGTGAACCTAAAAAAGCAGATGGGAAGGCTTTGAATGCCTAAGTCTTAAAACAACCCTTATGTTCTCAACATTTCATGGGCAGGAAGGAGGCTGTGAAAGCTGAATAGCCTCCAAGCCTATACTGGAGTCAGACTCTCCAAAACCCACCTCCATTATGGCCGTGGAAAACAATGATCAAAATAGTGTCTTTCAGATGTAGAGCCAGGGGGCAAGGAGAACACGAGACAGAAGAGTCCCTTTCAGAAAGCAGAGTCAGTGTCTACTTAAGAAAGTCTTGGGCTGGGTGCGGTGGCTCATGCCTGTAATCCCAGCACTTTGGGAGGCCCAGGAGGGCGGATCACGAGGTCAGGAGATTGAAACCATCCCGGCTAACACGGTGAAACCCTGTCTCTACTAAAAATACAAAAAATTAGCCAAGCGTGGTGGCCGGCGCCTGTAGTCCCAGCTACTCGGGAGGCTGAGGCAGGAGAATGGCGTGAACTCGGCTGGGGGGTGTTGGGTGCGAAGGTTGCAGTGAGCCGAGATCACGCCTCTCCACTCCAACCTGGGCGACAGAGCGAGACTCCATCTCAAATAAATAAATAAATAAATAAATAAATAAATAAATAAATAAGAAAGTGTCTCCACTACCAGGTGAAATAGTCATCATGCCTGGTGAGCAGGATTCCATCCTAGGTATGTGCCAGTCACCGACATTGTTTCCTAGTCCTCCTGTGTCTGAGTCCTCATTGCAGTTAGATTATCCCTGTTCCACCATTGTGCATTGGGGGTATGTTTGGGAAAGGTAACAAACCTATTTTTTAGTTCACTGGTTGCTGTACCATGAAGAAGTATATCTGGATCTTATGGAGAACAAATACCCAGAGATCGTAACTTTTGGCATAATGATGTAACTGGACAAACCTTGTGTTCTTTCCCTTTGGAGAGTTTATCGTGTGTTCACTGTGTGAGGAGAAAGACTGCACAAGTATTTGGTAGCCAGGGGCTATCAGAGAGACAGCTAGCTGTACTGTATATAAAACTTTCTTCTGCTCTTTTGTGCACATAGCAAGGTTATATTTTCTAGCCTATCCTGTAGGTAAGTGGATTCATGTAACCAAGTTCTATTCAGTGAATGTGAGCAGAAGTGATACGTGCTATTTTGCAGGCCTGTCAGATAAAAACCTCCAGTGGTTCCCCTGCATGCTAAATGGAGATGACAATGAGGTCATAGGCTATGGCGAAGGCACAGATGGAAGGAGCCTGAGGACCTGAATTACTGTATGAGGAAGAGCTGCTCTGCTGATCAGAACACCCACCTAGGGCAGAAAGTAAACTTCTATTAGAGAAATAGATATAAAAATAGTCTTATAATATGTTAGGATGCACAAAATTCATCATAGTTCTGATGTCTTAAATCTGCTGCATGAACTTAAGAACAGCATATGATTTCTGTGTATTTCAGTTTCTTCATCTTTATAATGACGATTTATCTGATGTCCAAACATATCTCTATACTTGTAAAAGATTGCACTTATCTGATGATATTTCAAAATTAAATATAAATTAATTTAGACCCACTCGTTTTATATTGCCATTCCTCTTCTTAACTCTTTGTGTGTAGTATTAAGATCGAAGATGAAGTTTTCTATTTTTAAAATGCTATGTAAAATACCTGTATATATGATTATTTTTCTAGCCAAATACTAAGACATTTATATGTCAGAAAGGCTTTCTTGAACTATACTTGAGACCCCCAAGTCATTTACCTTACATCTTCCTGATGCCTGGATTTCCTTCCTTATCTGTTTTGTGGTCCATAATCCAACACTCCCTTAGAACACCCTCAACTCCCTTGATGCACTATCCCTGTTGTGTTTTCAATGTAAAATGGAACTGTATATTAACTCAATTATCTGTCCACTGCTTACAAGTACCCATGCAATTAATTAGAGTTAGAGAAAAATACACAACAATAGTGACTTCCCTTACTATAAATGTGTAACCACACCCTACAAAAAGACATCAAGTATGCTTAAACATCAAACTTCCCTTGTAAATGTACTCCCTCCCTTCCTAAAATGACTTTCATACTTTTCCTCTCTCCTTAAATATTCAACTTTCCCCCAACTACTCTGCCTCTTGACTTGCAACATATTATCTTTCCTCATATTTCATTAAGAATAGGCTCACATTGGAACTGTCTTATCTTCTCACCACCAAATCTACTAGGCTTTCTGCATCTGTTTAATATTGTCTGCTGTCCCTCCTCATGAAATAGATGGAATTATGGCCTATCTTTTACCCAAGGTTTGGGCTTTCCCTTGTGTTGTGGACTCCATCTCCTTTCATCTTCTAGAGGAAGTCACTTAGCAATTATCTCATCCTTCTTCTAATCGTCAGCTTCTACCATCAGCATACAAATATTTTTTTAATTTTTCTTCATCTTTGAAAAAAAATTTGTTTGCCCTCCTACTCCTCTCCTGATGTCTTCTTATTCTCTACTTCCCTTCATAACAATTCTGAAAAGATTTATCAGTGGTCATTGCTGTTCTTCCTAACATATTGTTCTTTCTTTAACATGCCCCATTTGGGGATGTTGCCAGTGTTCCATTGATTCTACTATTGCCACATTATAAATAGTCTCCAAGTTCTTACCTCAGGTCATCCTTCAGCTGCCTTACACATAATCAACTACTCCCTCTTACTTGTAACTTTCTTGAGTTTTACAACATCACACTCTCTAGATTTTTAAATCTTCTACAATTTTTTTTCTGGCCCCAAATTCTCTCCATACCTCTAAATATTGATTACTCTGGGATTCAGCCTTTTTATTTTCTCTATTTATACAAATGCATCTCTATTTACACAAGCCCTTTTACCTAGTCCACTGCTTTCAATATTAGTATTAGTCAGCTTAGGCTGCTATAACAAAATACCACAGACTGAGTCACAACAGAAGTTTACCTTTTCACAGTTCTTCAGACTAGAGTTTGAAATCTACGTGGTTATGTTCTAGTGAGGGCTCTCTTTCTGGCTTAGAGATGACCACCTTCTTGCTGTGTCCTCCCTCAGGGGTGGGAGGGTGAAGATATTTGATATCTCTTCTTGTTCCTATAAGGGCACCAGTTCTGTTGAATCAGAGCTCCACTGTTGTGATTCCATTTAACCATAGTCACCTCCCTAAAGGTCCTGTCTCCAATACAGTCACATGGGATGTTAGAGCTTTTACAGATGAATTTGAGAGTGATACAATTCAGTCCATAGCAAATACCATCTGTACTTTACTTTAGTCTATGCAGCATTCTCCACCTCACTTTGACCACTTGTGCTTTTTATCTAGAGCAGCCTTAGGAGTAATTGGCACTGATTTCATAGTATGGAGCCAGGCCATTTCTAAAGCTTCTACATAATATACTCTCCAACTTCATCTCCTAGAACTTTCTCTCTTCTCTTCTGAACACCAATCCCATTATTCTTCCTTGAAGTTAATTCTTATCTTAAAGGCTTTGCACTTGATAAGTCCTCTGCCCAGAATTCTTTACCCTATATAGTCCTAAAGTTGATGCTTTTTGGAAAGAATGCCTTAACCAATGAGGCTTTCTCTGACCATCCAATTAAATTTTTAAATGTTCCCCCAACAAGTCATTCCTTCATATAATCTGGTTTTATTTTTTTCATGGCATTTACCACTATGTAAAATTGTCTTGTTTATTTCTTATTTCTCCCCTCCCATTGTCACATACTATTTGTGAGAGTAAGAATCTCGTATGTCTTGTTCATCACAATGTCCCTGGGACCAAAATAAAGACTTGACACATTTATACCAATTGAATGGGCATTTAGTAAGTAGTTGTCAAATATATTATTGAGTGAATGAACACATGACTTCAAACAATCACAGTGTATTCTTTCTAAAGTTATTTGAATTTCACTTAGATTATTTGAGTGCTTTATTGCATTTTAAAATAATTCATTTTTATAATAGAAAGCACAGTCTAATTCAATAACTATGCCCATATAGATCACAGAAATTGGGAAAATAATCAAATTAGTTTGTTTAGTAGCTTTGTGTTCCATACTAATCCATTAAAATAATTCAGATAACTGTTGTCTTATAATAACAATCTCACTCAATTATTCATTGTGCAATAGAGACATAGGCTCCCAAATAAATGACAGGGTTTTTTAATTCCTCAAATGAAATGAAAGGACAATTTGGATTTCTTTCATTTTACTCCATAAAAGACAGTACTAATCCATGGATCTCAGTTATCTTCAGCCTTGGGTGCTGGAAGGGCCAGAATGGCTGGCTGGAGTGGTGATTGCTCTGTAAATGGGTCTGCCTTGAGTTCTGTGGTCTCTAAACCTGACTGAAGGAAATAAAGCAAGAAAGAGGCAGATTAGGAGAGCATCAAGGTGGCCAAACAGCTTGATTTACTCTCACATCTCAGAAACTTTCATTAAGATTTATATCATGATGCTGACCTAAGTGGCAAAGCAATTTTTTCATAGCTGAAAAAAAAAGCTAATACTCTTCAGTTGGGTCAGGTAACCTTTTTCTTGCTCACAGCAAGTAATGGAGTGTGCCTCATGTGAATGAAACTGACCAATGGACATATATCGCTGTATTCCAGTGAAGCAGGTTCCCCCTGTGATAAATCTGCACTCCACTTATTAAGGTTTTTAAAAAGCCTTTTCTCATTTTATTCATATTTCTTAGCGTAAGAAAGGCTGTATGCACACTCCTTTATAAAATGTGTAGCTTGACATTAAAATACGCAGCATGATTTTCAAACGCACTTGGAGAAAAAAATGACCCAATACCTCAGAAGCGAAGTTTCTGAAATAAAACCAAAAAACAAAGCAAAAACACATACACAAATACCACATTAAAAAGACCTAAGTCATGGCAGAAATTAATTAGAATCTTGTTTTATGTAATTGATTTCAGAAAAAATTATTTTTGTAAGTGTGAATCACAGAAAGGCAAGACATCACAAAAAGGCAGAGTAATTGTCTTAGAAATAATTGTATTAACAGTCCCAAAGCACTAAAACATCATCATCATCATGTTAACCAGTGAATGAAATTAATGTTATTAAATGACATGTAAGACCAATAGGAGATTGCAAGCTGAGTCTAATCTGGCCATAGCCATGTCAGGGATTTTTTTTTTTCATAACTATGACTAACTGGTTTTCTAGGGCCATTGTTAATGCTTATGGCATCTGCAGGTAAATATAAAATAAAGTATTCCTTCCTCAGGTAGAGATTCTTAGAAGAGTGTACTATTGTTTTCACATTAATAAAAAGAACAAATTTATTTTATATAAATTACACAAATCAGATAATGAACTTAAGGTAAAAGAAAATTGAGAATTAAGAACCAAGTCATTAGGATATAATAGTTTGTTATAAAACACTTATTTCTTTTGTTTTCATGGAAACAAAATTCTCTGTGGTTGTTTTGATGTTTGCTTCTTCCAGTATCTCCCTTTTTATAGAAAAGATGACTAGAGATTCCTGGGCAAGATGGCCAAATAAGAAGAGCTCTAGTCTGTAGCTCGCAGCAAGACCAACGCAGAAAGTGGGTGGTTTCTGCATTTCCAACTGAGGTACCTGGCTCATCTCATTTGGAGTTGGTTAGACAGTGGGTGCAGCCCATGAGGGCAAGCAGAAGCAAGGGGGGGCATTGCCTCACCCGAGAAGCACAAAGTGTCAGGGAATTCCCTCCCCTAGCCAAGGGAAGCCATGAGGGAATGTGCCATGAGGGACAAAGCTATCCAGCCCAGATACTATGCTTTTCCCACTGTCTTTGCAACCTGCAGACCAGGAGATTCCCTCAGGTGCCTACACCACCAGGGCCCTGGGTTTCAAGCACAAAACTGGACGGCCATTTGGGCAGACACTGAGCTAGTTGCAGGAGTTTTTTTTTTTCATACCCCAGTGGTGCCTTGAACGCCAGAATCATTCGCTCCCCTGGAAAGGGGGCTGAAGCCAGGGTGTCGAGTGGTCTTGCTCAGCGGATCCCACCCCCATGGAGCCCAACAAGCTATGATCCACTGGCTTGAAATTCTCGGGGCCAGCACAGCAGTCTGAAGTTGACCTGGGACACTCAAACTTGGTCGGGGGAGGGGCGTCCACCATTACTGAGGCTTGAGTAGACAGTTTTCCCCTCACAGTGTAAAAAAAGGCCACTGGGAAGTTCAAAGTAGGCAGAGCCCACCTCAGGGCCACAAAGCCTCTGTAGCCAGACTGCCTCTCTAGATTCCTCCTCTGTGGGCAGGGCATCTCTGAAAGAAAGGCAGCTGACCCAGTCAGGGGCTTATACATCAAACTCCCATCTCCCTGGGACACAGCACCTGGGGGAAGGGGCGGTTGTGGACACAACTTCAGCGGACTTAAACGTTCCTGTCTGCTGGCTCTGAAGAGAACAGCGAACCTCCCAGCACAGTGCTCAAGCTCTGCTAAAGGACAGACTGCCCCACTAAGTGGGTCCCTGACCCCCAAGCCTCCTGACAGGGAGACATCTCCCAACAGGGGTCGACAAACATCTCATAAAGGAGAGCTCCAGCTGGCATCTGACAGGTGAGCCTCTGGAACGAGGCTTCCAGAGGGAGAAGCAGTCAGCAATCTTTGCTGTTCTGCAGCCTCAGCTGCAGGAAAACAGGACCCAGGAAAACAGGGTCTGGAGTAGACCCCCAGCAAACTCCAGCTGACCTGCGGAAGAGGAGCCTGACTGTTAGAAGGAAAACTAACAAGCAGGAAGCAACAGCATCAACATCAACAAAAAAAATGACCAATCAAAAACCCCATCCGAAGGTCACCAACATCAAAGACCAAAGGTAGACAAATCAACAAAGCTCAGGAAAAACTAGCACAAAAAGGCGAAAATTCCAAAAACCAGAATGCTTCTTCTGCAAAGGACCACAACTTCTCACCAACAAGGGAACAAGACTGGACAGAGAATAAGTTTGATGAAATGACAGAAGTAGGCTTCTGAAGGTGGATAATAACAAACTCCTCTGAGCTAAAGGAGCATGTTCTAACCCAATGCAAGGAAGCTAAGTACCTTGATAAAAGGTTACAGGAACTGCCAACTAGAATAACAAGTTTAGAGAAGAACATAAATGACCTGATGGAACTGAAAAACACAGCAAGAGAACTTTGCAAAGCATACATAAGTATCAATTGCTGAATTGATCAAGCAGAAGAAAGTTTTTAGAGGCCTACAAGGAGACTTAGACTCTGACACAATAATAGTGAGAGACTTTAACACCCCACTGTCAATATTAGACAAATCGACAAGACAGAAGATTAACGAGGATATTCAGGACTTGAACTCAGCTCTGGACCAAGTGGACCTAATAGACATCTACAGAACTCTTCACCCCAAATCAACAGAATATACATTCTTCTCAGCACCACATCTCACTTATTCTAAAATTGACCACATAATTGGAAGTAAAACACTCCTCAGCAAATACAAAAGAACAGAAATCATAAAAAACAGTCCTCAGATCATAGTGTAATCAAATTACAAAGCAGGATTAAGAAACTCACTCAAAACTGCACAACTACATGGAAACTGACCAATCTGCTCCTGAATGACTACTGAGTAAATAACGAAATTAAGGGAGAAATAAATAAGTTCTTTGAAACCAATGAGAACAAAGACACAATGTACCAGAGTCTCTGGGACACAGCTAAAGCAATGTTTACAGGGAAATATACAGCACTAAATGCCCACAGGAGAAAGCAGGAAAGTTCTAAAATTGAAAACCCTAACATCACAATTGTAAGAACTAGAGAAGCAAGAGCAAACAAATTCAAAAGCTAGCAGAAGATAAGAAATAACTAAGATCAGAGCAGAACTGAAGGAAAAACCCTTCAAAAAATCAATGAATCCAGGAGCTGGTTTTTTGAAAAGGTTAACAAAATAGATAGACTGCTAGCTAGACTAATAAAGGAGAAAAGAGAGAAGAATCAAATAGACACAATAAAAAAATGATAAAGGGGGTATCACCACTGATCCCACAGAAGGACAAACTACCATCAGATAATACTATAAACACATCTACTCAAATAAGTTAGAAAATCTAAAATAAATGGATAAATTTCTGGACACACACACCCTCCAGAGACTACACCAGGAAAAAGTTGAATCCCTGAATAGACCAATAACTAGTTCTGAAATTGAGGCAGTAATTAAAAGCCTACCAACTAAAAAAAGCCCAGGACCAGACAGATTCACAGCCAAATTCTACCAGAGGTACAAAGAGGGCTGGTACCATTCCTTCTGAAACTATTCCAAGCAATAGAAAAAGAGGGACTCCTCCCTAACTCGTTTTATGAGGCCAGCATCATTCTGATACCAAAACCTGGCAGAGACACAACCACAACAAAAAAAGAAAATTTCAGGTCAATATCCCTGATGAACATCGATGTGAAAATCCTCAATAAAATACTGGCAAACCAAATCCAGCAGCATGTTAAAATGTTTATCCACCACGATCAGGTTGGCTTCATCCCTGGAATGCAAGGCTGTTTCAACATATGCAAATCAATAAATGTAATCCATCACATAAACTGAACTAATGACAAAAACCACTTGATTATCTCAATAAATGCAGAAAAGGCCTTGGATAAAATTCAACACAACTTCATGCTAAAACACACTCAATAAACTAGGTATTGATGGAATGTATTTCAAAATAATAATGTGAAAATCCTCAATAAAATACTGGCAAACCAACTCCAGCAGCATGTTAAAATGTTTATCTACCACGATCAGGTTGGCTTCATCCCTGGAATGCAAGGCTGTTTCAACATATGCAAATCAATAAATGTAATCCATCACATAAACTGAACTAACGACAAAAACCACTTGATTATCTCAATAAATGCAGAAAAGGCCTCGGATAAAATTCAACACATCTTCATGCTAAAACACACTCAATAAACTAGGTATTGATGGAACGTATTTCAAAATAATAAGAGCTATTTATGACAAATGCACAGCCAATATCATACTGAATGAGCAAAAGCTGGAAGCAATCCCTTTGAAAACCAGCACATGACAAGGATGCCCTCTCTCACCACTCCTATTCAACATAGTGTTGGAAGCTCCGACCAGGCAGTCAGGCAAGAGAAAGAAATAAACCGTATTCAAATAGGAAGAGAGGAAGTCAAATTATCTCTGTTTGCAGATGACATGATTGTATATTTAGAAAACCCCATCGTCTCAGTCCAAAAACTCCTTAAGCTGATAAGCAATAACAGCAAAGTCTCAGCATACAAAATCGATGTGCAAAAATCGCAAGCATACCTATACACCAATAACAGACAAACAGAGAGCCAAATAATGAGTGAACTCCCATTCACAATTGCTACAAAGAGAATAAAATACCTAGGAATACAACTTACAAGGAACGTGAAGGACCTTTTCAAGGAGAACTACAAACCACTGCTCAAGGAAATAAGAGCGGACACAAACAAATGGAAAAATATTTCATGCTAATGGATAGGAAGAATCAATATTGTGAAAATGGCCAAACTGCCCAAAGGAATCCATAGATTCAATGCTATCCCCATCAAGCTACCATTGACTTTCTTCACAGAATTAGAGAAAACTACTTTAAATTTCATGCGGAACCGAAAAGAGCCCATATAGCCAACACAATCCTAAGCAAAAGAACAAAGCTGGAGTCATCAGGCTACCTGACTTCAAACTATACTACAAGCCTACAGTAACCACAACAGTTTGGTACTGGTACCAAAAACAGATATATAGACCAAAAGTTCAGAATAGAGGCCTCAGAAATAATGCCACACATCTACAACCATCTAATTTTTGACAAAATCCTGACTAAAACAAGCAATGGGGAAAACATTCCCTATTTAATAAATGGTGTTGGGAAAACTGGCTAGCCATATGCAGAAAACTGAAACTGGATCCCATCCTTACACCTTAACAAAACTCAAGATGGATTAAAGGTTTAAACATAAGACCTAAAACCATAAAAACCTTAGGAGAAAATCTAGGCAATACCATTCAGGACATAGGCATGGGCAAAGACTTCATGACTAAAACACCAAAAGCAATGGCAACAAAAGTAAAAATTGACAAACGGGATCTAATTAAACTAAAGGGCTTCTGCAAAGCAAAAGAAACTGTCATCAGAGTGAACAGACAACCTACAGAATGGGAGAAAATTTTTGCAATCTACCCATCTGACAAAGGGCTAATATCCAGAATCTACAAGAAGTTTAAACAAAATTACAAGAGAATACAAACAACCTCATCAAAAAGTAGGCAAAAGATATGGTCAGACATTATTCAAAAGAAGACATTTATGTGGCCAACAAACATGAAAATAAGCTCATCATCGCCAGTCATTAGAGACATGCAAATCAAAACCACAATGAGCTACCATGTCACACCAGTTAGAAATGGTGATCATTAAAAAATCAGGAAACAACAGATGCTGGGAAGGATGTGGAGAAATAGGAATGCTTTTACACTGTTGGTGGGAGTGTAAATTAGTTCAACCATTGTGGAAGACAGTGTGGTGATTTCTCAAGAATCTAGATCTAGAAATCCCATTTGACTTGGCAATCCCATTACTGGGTATATACCCAAAGGATTATAAATCATTCTATTATAAAGATACATGCACACATATGTTCATTGCAGCACTATTCACAATAGCAAAGACTTGGAGCCAACCCAAATGCCCATCAATGATAGACTGGATAAAGAAAATGTGGCACATATATACCATGGAATACTATGCAGCCATAAAAAAAGATGAGTTCATGTCCTTTGCAGAGACATGGATGAAGCTGGAAACCATCATTCTCAGCAAATTAACACAGGAACAGAAAACCAAACACCGCATGTTCTCACTTATAAGTGGGAGTTGAACAATGAGAACATATGGGCACAGGGAGGGGAACATCACACCCTGGGTCCTGTCTGGGGGTGGGGGCCAAGGGGAGGATGGCATTAGGAGAAATACCTAATGTTGATGACAGGTTGATGGGTGCAGCAAATCACCATGGCACATGTATACCTATGTAACAAACCTGCACATTCTGCACATGTATCCCAGAACTTAAGTATTAAAAAAATAATGACTAGACAGAAACCTTTTATTAGATATTATTGACTTTAATTTTTTAATTTTTTAATAGTTTAAATATTTTTAATAGTTTAAAATTTTAATATTAAAATTTTAATAGTTTAAATATTTTTAATAGTTTAAAATATTAAAAAATTAATTATTAATTTTTTAATAAAGTTTTAAGATGCAACATTCTTCAGTGAGAACCAATATCGGAAAAGAAACAAATACTAAAAACTACAAAAGTATTTAGAAATATGTCTTAAATTATTACTGTGAATATGCTGCAATATTTCAACAGAAGTCATACCACATTTTAGAAAACAACTGCAAGTTTTACAATTCCTTATATGTTGATGTCCATTCAATATCATACTCCATGGCTATGTTTATTGTTATTACACTGTCAAGTGTCAAATGTAAATTTTTACGTAGTTGTATGTATAATTTTCATATAATTCTCCAAATTACATATGTCGTCTAGAACCGTGCTCTTCAAATATTAATGTGCATGCAAACCACATGGTATGTCTTTAAAATGCAGTTTATGTTTTAGGGCCTGAGAGTCTGCATTTCTAACAAGTTCCCAGGATACCAATGCTGTTGATCTGTGGACCACACGGAAAGGCCATAATATTCTTTTAATATTATAAACATAATTTTTCAAAAAGTTAACATTTTATCTTAGAACTTGCAGCTTTTAAAAATAAAACATATGTCAAACCACTGAATTATAATACATTTAATTTTTATACTGATGAAATATGCCTTATTAAAAAGCAATTTGTATAGCTACATAAGTATCATCTTTAAATTATTAGTGTATTTATCTGTCTAGTACCTACTTTGTGGATAATTAATGGTAAGTTTATATAGATTATTACAAAGTGAGTCATGTCATAATGAAGGTACTTATGAATTTAAATTGGGAACTTAGTAAAAAATGGCAATAATATAAACTAAAATATAAAATATCAAATTAGCCATGACATTAATACGAAACAGGTTTTCTACTTTTTATTTTATTTTAAGATACTAATCAATCATAACATCAGTGGGAAAAGCAAGAAAACCTCATTATTTAGATATTATATCAAAAAGGTCTTTCACTTATTGAGTGTTCTTTCAGAAGAAAACAAATAACAACACTGTTAGAAAAAGATACTTTATTTTCATTTGTCAGAAAATTATTATAATACACTGAGTTTGCTGGAATAACATGCTCTATGGTATCTGCTTTGCTATCATCATTACAAAATATACAAATAATTTATATGTGGAGACAACAAAGTTATAGCAAAAGTGCCAACATATTCCAACTAATAAAGGAATCTCCCAGGTGCACTGTGCATCCTTAGATGTGGCTGCCTTGTGTAGTGTATTAACTAAAGAAACATGCATGCAGGAGACATGGCTCCACTTCTTTGGTGGGATAGTGAAAGCCAGTCTGTTAGTGGTCCTGCATCACTGAAAGAGGAGTTGATGTTTTCCTCACAACATAGCATCAGGAAGGCCAGGTGGAGAACTCCTAACTACTACTTAGAACTAAGTAGACTCCTTAATCAGCCGTCTATTTAGTTCAGTAGTCACGTGAATGGAAGATCTAATTGGCCACCACATTGCTCACACTGGTGAAGGATGGTGCTTGCTCATGAAGAGGATGGACTCTCACTCTGACTCAACAACCACTTTAGTGGCTCTCACCTCTCAAAAATTCAGTCACAGAGAGATTTCACTCCTTTCTATCAGGAGGAATTTGCAGCCATCATAGAATATAATAGCTTCTCTGTCTCCCTCAAATTTACACCACAGATTCTGAAACTTAAACCTTAAGAATTCAGGTTTCTCTTCTCTCTGGTTCTTCTTGTCCATGGTGACATTGCCTGGGGAAAAGCCTGAACATGGAGGTGAGGCCCTCCTGTTATTTCAATACTTCATTTTATCTCATCTGATTCATAAACTATAATGAGAGACATGCCATTAATATAATACACTGTGTTGTTACATTTTAAGAGGAAATGCTTCAAGCTAAATTACTTTTCTGACAACTGAACTAAATATAGTACCTGCTGGAAATATTTTTGATAAATAAATACTAAATAGAAACATCTGTCATCATCTGCTACTTTCCTTTGATTTAGTTCAGAAAGTGATCACATAAATCTGACAGAAAAATGTTTAAAAACTGTGTCAAAGGGATGTCTGGGCAACATGGTGGAATAAACTGGTACAAATCATCATTTTTCTCATTATAAACACATAGACAGGCTGGATACAATATAACCAAAAATTGTAAATACACGTCCAAATACAAAATGAAAAAAGGGATATCCCCAGGTGTTAGAGAGAAGAAAGAAATAAAACTACAGCTGAGACTTTGCACGTTCATGGGTGTTTCTAACCAGCTACAGGCCCTGAGGTTGTGAGGACCAGGGTGTTAATGACCATATGGGGGAGGAGATGTGATCACAAGCTATAAGAAGTGAATGATTTCAACCGTAAACATTCTATATACTAACAACACTCACATCTATTTCTTCTAGCAAAAGCCCTCTCTGGAGCTTCCTCTACACTTATCCCTTTCCCTTCAAGAAAAATTCAGCACTAAAGCACTTAGGTAGCTTAGAGCAAGGTGGATGTACCCATGATGGGAGTGGAAGGCAGAGGCCAAATGTAGAGAATCAAAACCCAGATGGAATGAGGAAGGAATCTATACGGAGTGGAAAATTGTCCTGGAAAGTTTCAGGGCCCAGGTGAGGTTGACAGGCTCAGTGACACAGAGAAGTACAGAGGGTTAACCATGAGTAGGGGAAAGAGGGCATCCCCAAACAGAAGGATGTCAGAGCCAAGTAGAATGAGGTGGACATGTGCATGGGAGACAGGTTATATACAGGCAGAAAGATGAAATAAATACATATAAACACACAAATTCCTCACTGTCAGAAAACAAAATCACAGATATAAAAAGGGATAAAATTATATTTAACCCTGTGATGTTGGTCTAGAATCAAAGGTATCAGTGCACTACTGGTTTTTCAATATATAAAAATAGAAATAGAATGAAATATAGGTATACATGCATATATGTGTGCATATGTACACATATTCCTTAGTTCTCTCCACTTAGAAGACATGGTACTGATGTAGGATTTTTTCTTCTTGGTCACATTGCAAGCCAGGGAACCCTGGCCAGCAATGCCCCAGGGTTCACTCGGCCATGCTGGCATGCCCCACCTCACAGGTGTTATAAATTGTACCCATGTTTGGCAGTTCCCAAGCTCTTGTACCCTGCCCAAGAAGAATGAGGTTATGCTGGACATTGAAGGGTGATGAGGGTGGAGAAGAATTTTATTGAGCAATGAAAATGGATTTCAGCTGAGAGCAGACATGGGTTTGGTCCCCCTAACTGAAAGTGGGAAAGTTTCCTTGTATAGCTGGGTCTGGGGCCTTTTATGGACTCAGAATAGGGAGTGCATTCTGATTGGTTTATGAATATACAAAAAAGATTAAAGTAAAGATACCATTTGAAGACAGGCACGACAGTGTAGAAAACCAATTAGAAAGGGGTAGGTATATGTAAAATAGGTCAAGGGTGGAGACAAACCTGAGGAAAGCACGCCAAAGAGGAAGATACATTCTCATTCCAGTCTAGTGATTTAACCCTTTGCTTGGCTTTCAGGCTTTAAACTGTCTTCAGCGTGGAGGTGGGGTTTCACTGGGGACCTGCTTCTATTTGCCTAGGCATTTGGCTGCTTCCTGTCTCTATCAGTACCAGTGAAAATCCTCCAAAGCATTAGATTAGATTAGATTTGGTTTTGGATACCATTTTCCACTTAAAGGAATAAGGGTTCCTAAGAGAAATATCTGATTCCAGGGATGGGGAAGGAAAAGTTAAGATATGCTTGAAAGATTTTGCTGTGCTGGAAAGCAAGGAAGTCCTCCAAGAGGGAGGGTGCCATGTCAAAAAGGGACACAGGAGTCAGCTTCAAGAAGCTCCCAGTGGTCAAATCTTGGGCAAAAATACCAATAAAAAATTACTCAAACGGATTATACCCCATTGAATAAAATAGTCCATTCTGATGAATGAATAATTGAAAGCTTCTGAGAAAAAGAATATTTATCTAGCTTCGCAAGTCAACCACCAAAATACTTATTAATTATGAAGTAAAAAGAGTAATTTGACAAAGGATATCCTGACAAACATTACCTTAATCAAAAGATCAAAGGGAATATCAGCAGTAATGAGACAAATCAAAACTTCTACATCATTTTATAGAATGGAATGATAAGAAAGACTGTACCATCAGTTTTGTGGTACTTCTGTCAAAGATGTATAAATTGAATCTAATCATGAGGAAACATCAGACAAAACCAAACTGAGTGACATTCTGCAAAATAACACTCCTATCATGTTGAAAAGTTAAGGCCATGAAAGCCTTTTTAAGAAAAGACTGAGAAAATGGTCCAAGCTAGAAGAGGCATGACAGCTAAATGCAACACATAATTCTGAATTGTACTCTTTTGGTAACGAAAATTATTTGGACAATGATTGGTTAAACTTGACTGGAGTCTGAGGTTTGAGGATTGTATATAAAGTATCAGTGTTGGTTACTTAATTTTCATGTTGATATTGTGGTTGTATTGAAAAATTTGCTTAATTGTGGGAAGTCCACAATAGAATATTTTGGATTACAGGGAACCAGGATGGTAAATAATTTTCAAATGGTTCAAGTGAAAAGCTATTTTTATTGTTATTTACAATGTATCTCTAAGTTCATAGTTATTCCAACTTTTAAAAAAAGACATTGTTAAAAATGTTAATGACACATCAGCATAGACAGTGACAAATCCAAAAATATTTGTATAACCTAAAATTGTGTAATATAAAAAATAATAGAAGATAATTTAGAGCATATCTATGCTAGGCATGATTCCAATCATTTTTTTGTAAATGTCAACTAATTTCATTTCACAACAAAACTATTGAGGGTCATAAAAAGCAAATCTGCGGTATATAATGGTTACACAACTTGTCCAAAGTTAGACCAAAAGTAAGTGTCAACGTTGACATTATATTTATATAAAATGTTTATAGCCTCTCTAATCATATAGAAATGTAACTGGCCCAGAGTAATTTTTCTCTGAGATTTTCTTTAATACTACCTTTATTCAAATAAAAGCCTCTTAATCCTTTTAAACTATTACATCAAGCTTCAGATACAGGAATTTGTCCAGGGTTAAGATGGGTCCTTCCAAAAGGAGCCACAGAAAAGCTCCCTGCTCAAAGCAAACAAGTGCAAACAACAGGAGAAATCACAAAATAATTAATTAGAGAACTGGTTTCAGCACTGCTGAGTCAGTAAAACCACCTTTCCCCCTTTCTATTTTTCATGTGTGTAGAATATGATCACAATTGGCGGCCATGGTAGAGCTTAGGCATTAGACAAGACCTAAAAGCTGTTCTCTCAAGACAGTGGACAATCTTTCTGGAAAGAGATTCACAATGAGTATTGGGATACAAACAATAAAAAAATTTGACCATCAATAACATACTAAAAAAGCAAAAACGAAAGTCAGTTCTACTCAGAATTCAAATGTTCTAAAGCTACCCACACCCAGAATAAAGTACTATTTACTTCAGCAGTTAGGAAGACCACTAGACTGCCTGTCCCACATATTCACAGGAAACACTGCATGTAACCTAGAACTAGGAGTTGACCTGCCTTCCTCTCACCCACTCCTAAAATGTAATGACTACTGAAGACAAAACATACGTAAGTATAAAAAAAACTTAAATTATTATTTCATTCATAGACACTCTGAAAACCACAGTATCAAACATTTTTAGATAAACTATTAGCAAGAAAAATCAAGATGAATATGTAGGACAACCACTATTCAGAGATCACCAGTGGAAAAATGGACAAAGGATATGAACAGTCAGTTAAGAAAACCTGAATTGCATTAAAGAAGTAAACAATTTTCAAACTGAGAAAGAAAAAATCTCAATCTCTGTTTACAGATAGTACTGTATTACATGCAGGCATCATCCAGAAGTGGATAGCTGCATCACTTCAACCCCACCCAGGGTTGGTTTGAAAGGCACTGAAGAAGGGAAATCCTTCCAGGAGGCCAACTGTAAGCAATGTTCGATTTGCCTGGAAAAAAGGGTGGTCAGATATATGGATTTACACTAATGTAGGAGTTGTATCCCATGTGAGTTCTCATCAAATGATGACTTCAGCAAAGAAAGATTTTAATACACAGGTGGAGGATTATCTAATCTGAGGACATCAGTCAACATCCTTCTCTAGCCACCTAAGTCATTGTCCAATGAAAGCATGAATAAAGTGACCATAGCAGCAGATAGGGAGGTTATGCACTAAGCAGCATGGACTTTCACTCACTAAAACCCATCTGCCAAAGAATCAGCTAGCTACTTGGTAGCAGACTGATTAAATTGGATTGTGATATGCTTTGGCTGTGTCCCCACACAAATCTCATCTTGAATTATAGTTCCCATAATCTCCACATGCCATGGGAGGGACCCAGTGGGACGTAATCAAATCATGGGGGTGGTTTCCCCTATGCTGTTTTCATGATAGTAAGTTCTTACAAGATCTGATGATTTTATAAGGGGCTTCCCCCTGCACTTGGCTCTCATTCTTCTCCTTCCTGCCACCATGTGAAGAAAGATGTGTTTGCTTCCACTTCCACCATGATTGTAAATTTTCTGAGACCTCCCCAGCCCTATGGAACAGTGAGTCAATTAAACCTCTTTCCTTTATAAATTACTCAGTCTTGGGTATTTCTTCACAGCAGCATAAGAATACACTAATACAGTAAATTGTTACCAGTAGAGTGGGATGCTGCTATAAGGATACCTGAAAATGTGAAAGTGACTTTGGAGCTGGATAACAGGCAGAGGTTGCAACAGTTTAGAGGACTCAGAAGAAGAAAAATGTGGGAAAATTTGGAACTTCCTAGAGACTTGTTGAATGATTGATCAAAATGCTAATAGTGATAGGGACAATGAAGTCCAGGCTGAGGTGGTCTCAGATGGAAATGAGGAACTTGTTAGGAACTGGAGCAAAGGTGACTATTACTGTGCTTTAGCACAGAGACTGGTGACTTTTTGCCCTGTCCTAGAGATCTGTGGAATTTTGAACTTGAGAGAGATAGATGATTTGGGGAATAAGGTGGAAGAAATTTTCTAAGTGGAAAAGTGTTCAAAAGGAAGCAGAGCATAAAAGTTTGGAAAATTTTCAGCCTGACAATGCGATAGAAAAGAAAAACCCATTTTCTGGGGAGAAATTCAAGCTTGCTGAAGAAATTTGCATAAATAACGAGGAGCCAAATGTTAATTACCAAGACAACGGGGAAAATGTCTCCAAAGTATGTTAGAGACCTTCACAGTAGTTCCCCCCATCACACGTTTGAAGGTCTAATAGGGAAAAATGGTTTCCTGGTCTGTGTGCAGCCTCAGGACTGCATCTCAGCCTCTCTACAGCCATGGCTAAAAGGGGCCAAGGCACAGCTTGGGCTGTTGCTTCAGATGGCACAGGCCCCCGGCCTTGGTAGCATTCATGTGGTGTTAAGCCTGTGGGTGCATAAAAGTCAAGAATTGAGATTTGGGAACCTCTGCCTAAATTTCAGAGGATGTATGGAAACACCTGGATGTCCAGGCAGAATTTTGCTGAAGGAATGGGGAAGGCCCTCATGGAGAACCTCTGCTAGGGCAGTGCAGAAAGGAAATGTGGGGTTGGAGCCCCCATACAGAGTCCCCAATGGAGCACTGCCTAGTGGAGCTGTGAGAAGAGGCCACCATCCTCCAGACCCCAGAATGGTAGATCCACTGACAGCTTGCACTGTGCAGCTGGAAAAACTGAAGACACTCAATACCAGCCCATGAAAGCAACTGGTAGGGTGGCTGCACCCTGCAAAGCCACAGAGGCAGAGCTACTCAAGGTTATGGGAGCTCACCTCTTGCATCAGCATGAGCTGGATGTGAGACATGGAGTCAAAGGACATTATTTTGGAGCTTTAACATTTAATTACTGCCTCATTGGATTTTCAACTTCCGTGAGGCCAGTAGCCCCATCATTTTGGTCAATTTCTCCCATTTGGAAAAGATATATTTACCCAATACCTGTACCTCCATTGTATCTAGGAAGTAACTAACATGCTTTCAATTTTATGTGCTCCTAGGCAGAAGGGACTTGCCTTGTCTCCGATGAGACTTTGGACTTGGACTTTTGAGTTAATGTTGGAATGAGTTAAGACGTTGGGAGACTGTTGGAAGGGCATGATTGGGTTTTGAATTGTGAGAACATGAGACTTGAGAGGGGCCAGGGTGGAATGATATGGTTTGGCTGTGTCCCCACCCAAATCTTACCTTGATTGTAGTTCCCATAATCCCCACATGTGGTGGGAGGGACCTAGAAGAAGATAATTGAATCATAGGGGCAGTTTCTCCCATGCTTATTCTCATGATGCTAAGTTCTCACAAAATCTGATGGTTTTATAAAGGGCTTCCCCCTTTGCTCGGCTCTCATTCTTCTCCTTCCTACCATCATGTGAAGAAGGACATGCTTGCTTCCCCTTCCACCATGATTGTAAGTTTTCTGAGGCCTCCCCAGCCCTATGGAACTGTTTGTCAATTAAACCTCTTTCCTTTATAAATTACCCAGTCTTGGGTATTTCTTCATATCAGCAATACAGATTGTTTCCATCATGGAAGGGAAAGTGCTTTGTTCTTACTGGAATAGACACTGATGACTGTAGATTTGCCTTTTCTATCCTTAAACTTCTGCCAAAACTACCATCTTTGGACTTACACAATGCTTTATCCTCCATCATAGAATTATACACAGCATCAATTCTGACCAAGAAACTCATTTTATCACAAATAAAATGTAGCAATGTGTCCATGTTTAAGGTATTCACTGGTCTTACTGACACTCTAAAGCAGTTGGCTTGATAGACTAATGCAGTGACTTATAGAAGGTAGTTAAGAACCAGTTGGATGGCAACAGCTTGCAGTTCTAAGGCAATGTCCTCAAGTATGCAGTATATGCTGTCAATTTATAATCATTATATGATGTTGTTTCTCCAAAAGCCAAAATGTATGGGTCCAGGAACAAAAAGAAAGAAACAGGAATAAATTCTATCACTTAACAATGCAAAGATGCCCAGTAAAATAACAATTACTTAATATTTCTCTACAGAAAATAATCAGTATACTTATAAAAGAGGGAGAAAATATTAGTATAGAAATTAGAAATGATAGAGTATCATTTTTTGTAGATAATATAATTGTATCTTGAGAAATGTAATAGACAGTGAACTATCACAAAGACAAGAAATTTCAGATAGATAGATAACTTATAAATATAAATCAGTGGCTTTTCTTTATACAAAAAAGCTGTATTACAGGTGGAAGCTACAATATGAAAGAAGCAAGAACTATAGAAGGAAAACCTCAAAAGGCAACTACAGATAAGAAAATAACACATGAACAAATAGAACAGCATTACCTGATCTTAGATAAGAAGACTCAATATGATAATGTCCCCATCCCCTACTAAGTTAATTTGTAAACATATCACAATCCTAATAAGAATAAAAATGAAGTGTTTTTAACTAGACTGACAGATTTAAAATTTTTTATGTAGCAGCAAAATGTCAGAAAAAATGTGAAGAAAAAATAGTAATAAGGGGGACTATACCAACTACCAACGAACTCTCAAATTATGCTATAAAACTATATAAGTAAAAGCAGTGCAGTACTGGCTCATGAAAATAAGAATGCATTTCAAAAGTCCAGAAATAGACTCATATATATATATATATATATGAGAATTTAACATATATATGTAAAAATTGAATTACAAATCAGTGTGGAAAAGATTTGCAATTCAATAAACAACGTTTGGGAAACTGCATATTTACTCCATATCTCACACTAAAATAAATACCAATTGGATCACAAATTTTAATGTAAAAAGAAAAAATTAAAAGGAAAATCAAAACTATTGAAGTATGAGAAGAACCTGTACTATGCTCAATACTATCAGAATGGAGAAGGTCTTCTATGATGGAAAGCTGACAGAGAGGTACAGAAGGCTGCCTCCTTGCCTCAGGGTAGGATTAATTTTGTGTAGTTTGTGCTCCAGAGATTCTGTATGATCAGACTGAAGCTAGGCTCCAGTCCAGACCACACCTACTCTATCCTGCTGCTGCTCTTGCTCCTTTTCCTATGAGCACTTCCTAATACATCATGTAAACAAGAATCTCTGTCTCAGGATCTGCTTCCAAGCAACTGGGCCCAAAACACTGCTGAATTTATTGTCTACTAGAAAATTTACTTAAAACAAAAGTTAAAATAAAACAGATGTTCTGAGTCCCGGTTACAAGTTAGTTTTACTGCTCAGCACATCATGGCTATTTATTTTATTCTTTGAAATCCAACATAAGCCTTGTGAATTTCCTCATAAAAGCAAACCAGATAATTAAAAAATGGTCCTCAAGCATAATCATGTTCTGGTCCACGAGGACTTATTAAAGGCCTTATGAACATGATCAACCACCACTACTTGAGAAAAAACTCCAAAACTGTGATATCTTTTTTGTGATATCAAGAGTGAGAGACTGGTTAGAGGCGGACAATTGATTCCATCCTTATTTTTATTCTAATGTCTGACATTGGGAACCATGGAGTAATGATACTGAAGACTCAAACCAGGATACCACAATCTTACATGACTGCATAAGATAAGATCTCTGCTTTCCTGACCAGCTCCCCAGCCCCTACAATCTCAGCAAAAATATCATGTGAAAATATTGAGCAGAAGATTGTATTTGGGGCTCCACTAGATTTAAATTCCACATGTCAGCCCACAGTTTTGTCAAAATTTGACTGATTTCTCCTCATCCCAACAGAGACTGGCAGTTCATAGCAGTTTCATTTCTCTGCTTGTCCAATCCCAATCTCAACAGCTGTCCCCTAACATAAAGGCATCCTCCATCTCTTGACTAATAAGCAAGGGCTATTTCCACTGGGGTTTAATTCTTTCAGGGTATTTTGTATCTATAGTTCTCTGGTTATTTTAAAGAAAAGTGTAAGTATTAAGTTTATCTGGCAGGTTTTTGTTGTTTTAGCAAAAGTAAAAATCTTTATGTCTTTCTACTTTCTAATAAGCTTTAGTACCCCAACCCTACCTCTAATTATTTCCAACATTGTTATGAAAGTTCTTTCAATATAATATGGTGCAAAACATAGTAAGAAATTGAGAAATAAAGATTTGCATATCAACTGAATGCGTATCAGAACAGTTAAAAGAATCACTTGAAACTAGAAAAATGAATTCAAAAGTACTTGGAATGTAAGATAAATATCTAAAAATAATTTTCCCGGCCAGGTGCTCTGGCTCATGCCTGTACTCCCTGCACTATGGGAGGCTGAGATGTGTGGATCACCTGAGGTCAGGAGTTTGAGACCAGCCTGGTGAACATGATGAAACCCTGTCTCTACTAAAAATACAAAAACTAGCCAGCCATGGTTGTGCACGCCTGTAATCCCAGCTACTCAGGAGGCTGAGACGGGAGAATCGCTTGAACCCGGGAGGCAGAGGTTGCAGTGAGCCGAGATCACGCCACTGCACTACAGCCTGAGAAACAAGAGCAAAACTCTGTCTCAAAACAAATATAATAATAATAATAATTTTCCCATGTAATTAACATGGAAGAGACTGAACAGAGTAAACGCTTGTCAATAATAACACCTATGACAAGAAACAAATATTTAAGGATAAACCTAAAAAATGAGTAAGGTCTTAAAAAAATACTTTACAAATAATGTTAATGACGTGAATAAATGAAAAAGTATATCTTTTCACTAGAAAAACTAAACATTGTTTTCAAAATCCCATTTTTTGAGAATTGTTTTATAGAATAATTCAATTTCAATCAAAATTGAGTTTACTTGTAATTTCTGATGAGGAGGCCAACATAAATCTCATTGAGGGTGACATTTAAGACAAGGTCTGACTTTTTAATGATAGCCATTCTAACTGGTGTGAGATGGTATCTCATTGTGGTTTTGATTTGCATTTTTCTGATGGCCAGTGATGATGAACTTTTTTTCATGTGTTTTTTGGCTGCATAAATGTCTTCTTTTGAGAAGTGTCTGTTCATATCCTTTGCCCACTTTTTGATGGGGTTGTTTCTTTTTTTCTTGTAAATTTGTTTGAGTTCATTGTAGATTCTGGATATTAGCCCTTTGTCAGATGAGTAGGTTGCAAAATTTTTCTCCCATTCTGTAGGTTGCCTGTTCACTCTGATGGTAGTTTCTTTTGCTGTGCATAAGCTCTTTAGTTTAATTAGATCCCATTTGTCAATTTTGGCTTTTGTTGCCATTGCTTTTGGTGTTTTAGACATGAAGTCCTTGCCCATGCCTATGATGCCTATGTCCTGAATGATATTGCCTAGGTTTTCTTCTAGCGTTTTTATGGTTTTAGATCTAACATTTAAGTCTTTAATCCATCTTGAATTAATTTTTATATAAGGTGTAAGGAATGGATCCAGTTTCAGCTTTCTACATATGGCTAGCCAGTTTTCCCAGGTGCTGGAGAGGATGTGGAGAAATAGGAACAGTTTTACACTGTTGGTGGGACTGTAAACTAGTTCAACCATTGTGGAAGTCAGTGTGGCGATTCCTCAGGGATCTAGAACTAGAAATACCATTTGACCCAGCCATCCCATTACTGGGTATATACCCAAAGGATTATAAATCATGCTGCTATAAAGACAAATGCACATGTATGTTTATAGCAGCACTATTCACAATAGCAAAGAGTTGGAACCAACCCAAATGTCCAACAACGATAGACTGGATTAAGAAAATGTGGCACATATACACCATGGAATACTATGCAACCATAAACCATATGTTCTCACTCATAGGTGGGAATTGAACAATGAAAACACATGGACACAGGAAGGGGAACATCACACACCGGGGACTGTTGTGGGGTGGAGGGAGGGGGGAGGGATAGCATTAGGAGATATACCTAATGCTAAATGACGAGTTAATGGGTGCAGCACACCAACATGGCACATGTATACATATGTAACAAACCTGCACGTTGTGCACATGTACCCTAAAACTTAAAGTAAAATAATAATAATAAAATTAACGAAAAAAAAAAGAAAAGACAAGGTCTGAAGGAGGTAAATAGGCAACCATGAAGACATCTAGGTGGGACTATTCCAGGCACAGGAAACAGAGGCCTGAGACATGCAAAAGCCCTGAGAGGTGGAAGGAATGGCATGTTGGAATAAAGTGAATTGGGAATAAAATCATAATAGGAGGTTAATAAAAAATATATTAGAGAGAAAATGGGATCAGAGCATGTCAGCCACTTTAAGAGCTTTTCTCTGAGTAAAGTGGCAAACTCATGGAAAGTTTTAAGCAATGGGATAACATAGAATAAGCTACATTTTAATATCATCTACTTCATTGATGAGTTAAAAATAGGTCAGTAAGTGACAAGGATAGAAGAAGGAAGACCAGTTAAAAAGCTATTACAAAGTTAAAAATCCTTAACATATACACTTAAAAAGCAATAAAATTATTATAGAAAACTAGACAAAGAATAAATACAATATTTAAAAATTGAAATAATAAAAGAAATGTACCTCAACACAAGTAAGGGCATATGTGACGAATCCACAACTAACATTATACTTAACAGTTAAAAGTTGAAAGCCTTTTCTCTAAGATTAGGAACAAGAGAAGGATGTCCACTCTCACCACTTCTATTCAACATAGTATTAAAAACCCTAGCCAGAACAACTACACAAGAGAAAGAAATAAAAGACATACTACATGGAAAGGAAAAATTTAAATTGCCCCTGTTTTCAGAATAACATAATCTTATACATAGAAATTCCTAAAGACTTCACCATAAAATTGTTAAAAATAATAAATATCCATGAGCATGGAACCATTTGACCCAGCCATCCCATTACTGGGTATATACCCAAAGGAACATAAATCATGCTGCTATAAAGACACATGCACACGTATGTTTATTGCGGCACTACTCACAATAGCAAAGACTTGGAACCAACCCAAATGTCCAACAATGATAGACTGGTTGAAGAAAATGTGGCACATATACACTATGGAATACTATGCAGCCATAAAAAGGATGAGTTCATGTCCTTTGTAGGGACATGGATGAAGCTGGAAACCATCATTCTCAACAAACTGTCGCAAGGACAAAAAACCAAACACCGCATGTTCTCACTCATAGGTGGGAATTGAACAATGAGAACATTTGGACACACAAAGGGGAACATCACATACTGGGGCCTGTCATGGGGTGGGAAGTGTGGGGAGGGATATCATTAGGAGATATACCTAATGTAAATGATGAGTTAATGGGTGCAGCACACCAACATGGCACATGTATACATATGTAACAAACCTGCATGTTGTGCACATGCACCCTAGAACTTAAAGTATAATTGAAAAAAAAAAGAGAGGACTGTGGCTATCATACTGAATGACAAACTAGGGCATTGGAAGGACAGGAGCAAAGAGCAGAGGCTCAAAACCATTGATAAAAGTTTAAAGGACTTGTGGGTTTATGAAAGAAAGTTAAATCTAGGTGTGGTAACTTAAAGAGTTTGCTAAATCAGTCAGTTTCACAAAATTCTGAAGTTTTAGTAAAATTTTCAAACTGTTCTCTAGCACAGGAAATAATGAAATTTGTGAAATGAACTAGCTACATAAATCTCTAAAGGATGGAGACACAATTTTTTTAGTACTATCATTTCTTTTAGCATTTTGCTAGCATTTTAAATACCATGTATTTAACATATTTAAATATATTCAGTCATAACACTCTGCATTTGCTACTGTTTTTAAATAAACTTAAAACATGTATTTGTTGACTGCTAATTTTCAGAGTCTACTTTGTTTTTATAATTAGAAAATAGATATGGAGAAGAACCCACAAGCATAATTTCAGCAACCTTAGTTACAGCTAACATCACTCATGTTTACCATGTTTTAAATCCCCTGTCAAAAGATAATGCCATATAAGGAAAGGTGAGGCCAGGGTGAAGAGTGAGCATGGGGAACAAACGGAATGGGAGAGACATAAGACATTTATTCCTCCACGTGTCCTGACCTGTCTTTCAAATGCCTAAAACTATTCTAGTGGTACCTACTTCTTCTTTGGCAAGTGTGTTGGAAGAAGACAGATGAAGAGAGTGGACAGGCACATGGAGAAAGTGAAAAGTAATAATATATGTCTTTTTGACAAGGAAACATATTTTTGTGCATACGTACGTGAATCCTTGAAACTAGTAAGACTATCTCATTTTAAGTAAACTCCATATAATAATATTTAATACTGAAAATTATTATTCACTAATTTATTTTAATTAACAAGCAATCCCAGGGCACTAAACATAAAATTCAATTTACACATAATGCTTTAAAATGTTTCAAATACTGCCCCGATTCCAAAAGCAGAAACAGAACTATGCCAAATATGGATCAATAGTGATATATCTACAGTTCTAAGGGTCTAAGGTAGACAAGAATGATCATAGTTCTATAGGCCTAATTACCGTGGGTAGAAAGGTTTTCCTAAGCTATTTGTAAAGTGAAATTACACAAGTTAATAAAGAGTAAGTTTTTGCTCAATAAGTGGAATGGCTGAATTGGAAGTATTTTCTAGCATTGTCATCTATAATATTCAGAAAATGTTTTATAATATACCATTGAATATCTATGCTCTTTTTCTGATCTTAGATCTCTGTAACACTTAGAGTGGAAACTTTGCCCGGCTTTATCTCTTTTTGATATCTAATTAAACCTGATTTAGTAGAGAATTTATCAGTATGCCTTTTCCCTCATATTTCATTTATGGATATGGACAGCCACCCATTTTTACCATGCACTGTATGTTGAAAGATCAAATACATCAGCATAATTTAAATAAATCTGAGCCCTATAAATTCCCACTGGATACAAGACCACAAATGGAAACAAGAACAAGGGCATGTTCAATGACATTAAAATGCAACTAATTTAAAACACAAAAGAAATGCATTTCTATAGAGTGCCTAATAAATCTACAGCACTCATTTCCACAGGATTTTAGTGAGCCAAATACCCAACAACTTTCAAGAAAGAATTACACATTCATAGCTTAAGGACAAAATATTTGTGGCTGTTAACACTACATGGACTATCAATTTAGAAGCTTTGTTTTTGAGTCAAAAGAGACTGCAGCAACTTTCTAGATTAGTAAAATTTCCTTGACAGTTAGGGAATGTGCTAACATAAAAATATCTCTAAATTTGGAGTCTTCATTTACTTAGTTCTTTTATTTGACTGCTGGGCTTATTTCAAATAACACTGGGGTTATGAATGTAGCCATAATCTTTTCTTGGCTATCTTTGAATTGGTTATATCAGTAGACCATTAGCACAATTAATCACCTCAATAAAACTGGATCATATGCAAAAGCAGTAATTTTTATAGTAACAGAAATATATTCATATGTGAGTATGAATGGAAAAGAAAGGAAAGAAGATATAAAATAGAAAAAGAAAAGAGGGAGGGAATGAGAGCTAGAGGAAAGAAATAAAGAAAAAGACCCAAACAGAGAAGAGAAATCAAGTTTTGCTAATGAAATACAAAAAACTTTACTTTTTTCTCCTTGATACTAATGTTTCTTAATGCATAGTCTTTCATATAAGGTGAATTCCAATGTTTTCCTTTTTATTTCTCCTTCTATGCCAGCAATTACCAAAGGAGAAATGTTCATATAAGCTTCCCTTTTCCCAATTACCTTCTTACAAGTACCTATGAGGTTTAAGAAATCCAATTTTCCCTTTCTATGAGTCTAATTTTCTGATTACCACTAGCAAACTCTGCAATTCCAGGCCCATGATCTTTCCATTTATTCATCTATTTAGTGAACAACCACCTATATCACAGGCATCAAGATAGGCTCTGGAGATATAACAGCGATAAAGATAGTCATGAATCCCTACTTCCAAGGAGCTTGTTCTCTACCAGAGGAAGACAGGAATGGGAAAGAAGGCAGATAACAAACAAAATAAACAAGTAAAATATAGAGATGGTTATAAATGCAATGGAAAAAACAAAGCAGGAGATGTGAGTAGAGAGTGTATTTGTGGAGATTAAAGAAAGGGTGTAGTTTTAAATACAGTGGTCCAGAAAATTCTTACTGATAAGTTTCAGTTAAACACTGCACAAAATAAGAGAGTGAGTCACTGGCATATCTTGAAAAGAGGACTCACAAGGGGAGAAAGAGAATGCAAATTCCCAGAGACAGACTCCTCCTGGCATCTGTGCCTGGAACAAAGTGAGCAGAGAGCAGTAAGAGGTGAATTCAGAGAGGTAATAGGGGCAAGGAGATATGATACAGAAGGTGCAGGTCCTTGTAGACACAGATAACAATTCTAAATTTAATTTTTAGAAAGATGGGGAGCCTTTGGGAATACTGACAGAATTGTGTCATGATCTGAGTTGTGTTTAATGGAATAATTCTTGCTTTGTGTTGAGAGTAAATAAATCTGAAGCTCTGAGTAGGTAGATGTAGGGTAGAAGTTGTAGAAATAACAGGCTTAAGAATAGACACAGAAGTTAAAACCATGATGGTTAATGGAAACTTCCAAAGAAAGCATGTGGAAAGAACAATAAAACAAGGACAATGATGGAAGCCTACTAGAGGCTAATTTGTATGAGATGGAAGGAGAGGGATGAACTCATGGAATCCAAGAAAGAGCTGGTCAGAAAAGCATGAAAAGAAACAAACAAGCACAAAATGTGAAGACTGATGAGCTCCACTAAGGCTCCAGATGAGCTTACACATCATAAATTTGGACTGAACTAAATTTGAACTGACATATATATGGTTGTGTGTGTCATTTAGAAGTACTTCTATGCCAGTAGTAGCATAGAAACCTGATTGACGAATTGATTCAGTTGTGGTTTTCCTGAGCAGGTGCAATAAATAATAGGAATATCAGATAACCAAGATATTGATGAGAGAATAGATAAGATAGTCAGCCATATGTTTCTGTGCAGGAAGAAGTAAATAAATTCAAAAGATGGATAAGTAATTAGGAAATGTAGGAATTAAGATACAATGTGTGTCTAAGAGTGTGAAGAGCAGATTTCCTAGGAAAGAGGTTAAAATTGAGGACAAGAAAAATTGTTAGAGAATGAGATTTTTGTGTTTACAATTTGTAATGTGAAATATAATTGAATGTAATGATGTGGAACACAATAATTAAATTAAAATTTGATGACTTTGATGTATCTTAGGCTGAAGATAGTTTCATTTCATGATATAGATCTGATCATTCTCATTTAACTTTTTTTATTGCTGTCATAAAAATCCTAAGTTTCTTCCAGGTGTTTTTGCTAGAGATAACTGTTCTAGTGTATGCCATCTGACCACTACTGGCAAGATTCAGGAGCCCAACATACAAAAGCTGCCCCCAGCTTACAGAATCCTCATTGTGAAGTGAAGCTTGTTTCAGACTGAATATGAACATTTTACTGGATATGCCTTATTTCAGAATGGATATGAGCATTTTACTCAAACTTACATGAAGTTCCAGGGAGTCCGGACATCATGAAAGAAGTTTTGGCTGCGCTTAGTCCTCTAAGTGCCATGTGCTTTTTTCTACTAAATAGTCTGGGTTAGGACCATTCACACTCATTATGTAAAACCAAAGAAAACTAGATAAAAGGAAGCAAAAATATATTATTTAAATGGAAACATATTGCTTACAACCAAATATGATCATAGGATTGATAAACAGATAATCCACCTTAGTTTCATTTTTAACTTCAGTTGACTATCTCTCTTGAAGCAACATAGTTGACTAGTTATGCATATGCTTCCCCAACTTTTTGTATCTTTTGTTTCTAAATCACTAGAACAACATCTGCTAGGTGTAATTTCATTTTCTCACAGTGAATGCTGAAGAAAATTGCTTCACCTTCTTGTAGGCGAAGTGCACTACTTTGAGTTTGCTGCTAGCCCTTTTAAATTTCAGTCACTAAGTGTGAACCTAAGTTTTCAGCTTCACACCTCTTTTCCTAGTATTTAAATCTGTCTTATTGTCAATGGATGCTCATTGTCTTAAAGCTCTGCATAACATCCAAACATAGTGACCCATAAGACTTCTTTTGCTCATTAATCTCCAAGTGTCTCTAATGTAAACCTACAAAGGAAGAATTTGGTAACTCCCTGCAAAATAATTAAATCAAGACTTTATGGTCCTCAAAGGGAGAGTACTCCCTAAAGTAACTCTAGCAGCAAAAGCTCCTCCTTTTTCACTTAAACCAAATATCCATTTTCTGTAGCATAATAGAGAATTCATCAAATGAAATAAATTCTTGTAACAGCTTAATCTGATGTTAAAAGAAATAAGTAAAAGAATTAATAAAAGGGAAGATAATATCAGGTATAATTTGGTGATTAATGTCCAACAATGTGTTAAAATAGAGAGTGAAAGAAAACTTATGCAAAAAGGGAAAAAAGCAGAGAAGAGAAAAACGAACAAAATCTTAAAGATATATAAGGAGAAACTGAAAAAAGGAATAAAAAATGACAATAAGAAGTAATTTTTTTAAAGAGATTGGAAATTTCTTACTATCGTAAAGCAAAGCATTATTATTTTAGTAACAATATCAAAAATGTTAAATCACAGGGTGGTTAGTAAACAAATACAAAATTTTTTTTAAAGTTGTTACATACCACTGTATTGCTTTTTATTTAATTAATTACTGCCATTTTAATAAAAATATCTATATCCTCTTATATCATAGGATGGATTATTTCATATAGATAAGCTCATATGAAAACAAAGTAATCACAATGTCTCAAATGCAGAGGACTCATGTGTGTACGTTAATCAGAATATTCAATTCTACTTGAATAAGCACAATTTAATGCTAAACTTTTAATATTTTCTGGATGCATAACTATTCAATCAATGCTTTAAGATTACCCACTTAAGTCAAGTGTAATTGGGATATTGCCCCAAAAGTCTAATGGTTGCTTCCTTATTATAGCCTGGTGTTCAGATTTATGCAAATAGAAAACAATTTCTGCAGTATCCTTTAAAAATAAAAAAATAAATAAAGTATCTGATTGTGATTGCTGTTTTGCAGGTTCAGACATTTTAATGCATTCTTTCTTGGAAAAAAAATAACAACAACCAGGAACAATAATCACAGACAAAACTTTGCAACACCAATTGCTTTGAAAAGGAAACAAATATTTCCCACACACACAAGAAAAAATACTGTCCATTCCTGTCAGCCTTTTCAACCTCTTTTGTGTTCCAAGAAATTGTGAGTAATGAAAACAGGGCAGAGCCAATCAAATGGGTGTGTATACTAGTGCACTGCGAGAGTTGAAAGCTCTGCATTTAAAATAAGGTTTATGCATTATTCATAGACTATGCATGTTTATGTAAATTACCAAAGGCGGAAGTGTATATGAAACCAGAATCTGAAGTAAAATGACGATGTTATAATATACTGCTGGACTTGCATCTCGCCAATTCAACATACCTTCATTATACTATTCTTCAAAATTACATCGTATGCCAGTTCACACTAGAAAAACTAATAAAACTTTGAGACTTACACATATATATTTTTCAACATTTCTTTCAGATTCAATATATTATTAAACAGTGAAACTTAGCCATGTAAAATTCAGACAGCCTAGGAATAAAGATGTACACATACACTCCTGTAAGCGGTTGTTACACAAGTTGAGGGACATAGAAAATGGAGCTTAGAAATTTAATTTAAAGATAGGAAGGTTTTTAATATATGGGGATTTCTGCTTTTAAAAAAGAGAAAAAACTTGAACCCTTCCTTTTTCGGAAATGGAGCCAGTAAATTTTGGAAGGCAATATAGTATTTGGAAGGCAACCTCCCATCTAGCATGGAACACTGGAGTGGTTTCTGGCCAGCAATAATCAGCTCAGACTCATCTTCTGGGTTAAAGTGTTCTTTTGAATCAGTCATTGTGGGCTGCCAGCCAAGGGGAAGAGTTCATTTGCATGAGATCTCCACCTCCTGGTCAGCTCTGAAAATCTTGGCAGCTTAGCACTGCAATTGGCAAAGGAGTGTTTTTAAAAAAAATTAGTAAATAAGGGCTTCCAAAGAAAACATTGTCACTGAATTAAGTCCAATGCACCTGAAATACATTGCTCTGTTATCTTTTAAATTGTTATGAATATAGCAGGCATTTTAAAGTCATTTCTGTTTATTTCCTTCCTAATGTACTGTGTGAACCATTTTTCTCATGTGTTAACGTACTATATGCAAATGGCGTTTAATGTGTTTTATTCACAGAATGCATTTACAAATCATTTTGTGTGGGGGGAAAGCAGTTGTTTCACTTTTGCTGTGAAACTGAAAAGTAGGAGTATATATCACTACATTTCTAAAATGAGAGAAAATTTAAATGGAATGAGGAAAGCCCACACATGCTATAATAAAAATTGTCTATGTTCCTAATTCACCTATTAGTACCTTTTTCTCACTTCATAGATTTTCAAAGTCTGCTTGCTAAATTTCCCTCCCTAAGAATTTTAAGCTCTTGTCATTTGAAACAATTAGCTTTGCCATTATTTGTGCTTAGGTCCATGTGTACTGCTCCTCTTAGAAATCAAAAGAAACCCTCAGAAACAGCAAACACTTTTTAGTAAAGCAAGAAAATTAACTTAAACATTTGTGCTTTACGTACTACCAAAATAACTGAGAGTAATTTCTAACACATCTAGTCAACATATATTTCATTCATGGCATTTAAAGACTTTAAATAATTTGCAACAGAATTTATTTTTATATAATTCTTATACTCTAAACAATATAAAATCACTAGGTGTTTAAAAAATGCTGAGAGTAGGTTAAATACTGAAGGGGCATTCAAATTCCATTTAATATAATATTAAATATGTAACCAAAAAGGAACATAACTGTTACAAAAATAATGTAAAGAATGTGTACAACATAATATTTTTTTCCTGTTAATTCATAGAAATAGATCTCTAAATGGCTATTTTCATTCCACCTATAGAATGACCAGGAAAAATGTTGGCAATTACTCTGTGAATGGCATTCTACCCTGGCATGAAGGTATAACTAATTTACATATAACATTGTTGGAAATGAAGCCTGTGACATACAGATCATCACCAACATTGGGAATGCACACTGCCAATTGTACCTCCTCATACAAATAGATACTGCCACTTATGGATCAAAAGGAGTGTTGCGACTGTGGTCCTGAGCTATTAAAACATGTTACAGAACTTTAAAGGTGTTGTAGAAGAAGGGACTTTATCATTAGAAGGATATTTTTCCCTTTGTCATGTAAACTTACTCCATGGAAATATTTATGTTTTACCTACATTGTCATATTTTCCCCAAAGGAAAAAGGCATATAGCACAAAAATTAAAAATGTTTAATTATTTTATATGTTAGTAAAATGGCACTTCATATTTTTTAAATAATAGAAACACAATAAAGTCTTTTTTAAATTTTAGAATAGGAAAGAAAAAGAACAAAACGTAGATACAATCTACTAATCTTTGAGCAATGGCTTAGTAGTTTCCATGGTGACATGAATCTACAAATATAAATTCAAGTGAGGCAACTTTTACTTCATTTATCAGAAAAATACTCAAAAGAGAATTTTATTTTAAATTACCTGGATAATTATCTCGGTTATTTCTTTCATGTTGCATACATATCACTGATCGACTTATCTCTTACTATTCATCTTTGTATTTTAAAAAATCTAAAAATTTGCTGTGTGCATTTTAGAAGACTAAGTATTTTTAATCTAACACAAGATTATTATTATTTATTGATGTTAAAAAAGCTTTCTTGGTAACTAAATAGTGAATTGATTACAAAACTTGAAGAGAATTAAGCTCCCAGCAGTGAGAGATTTTTCTACCAAAATTTTTGAAAGAGGAATATGAGTGCATTCGAGATTTTACATCTGCCCTATGGGAAAATCGATAATAGATTGTTTCTATACACTATATGTCAAGACTTGCCTATTGAGGAATATACAATAGGTATGCACTGGAGTATAATTTACAAAGTACATTTAAAAGGTATTTCCATAGTGCCCTAATCTATTACAGTTTCTGTCCTCTAATTTTCATGAGGCTTCGTTGTGCATCTTATTTTCTATTTAGTGAAGAAATTAAGTGATTGATTATGGATGATAAGTGAAAAATCAGTCAAATGTGGACAAGGCTGGCCTGATAGGACCAAAATGAAGTATGCTTTTGGTTGTGTAATAATTTCCAGCTGTGTTCTAGTTTAAGAAAATGTCCAACATGACACTCCCAGCTTAACTCAGTCACACATTTCACACAGGTAGTATTTTTCAGATGACACCAAGTTAGAAGGGATTGCTAACACCTCAGAAGAAAAGATCAGAATTCAAAGTGACCTCGATAAATTGAAGAAACAGCATGAACCTGGCTAGCCACAGGCCCTACAGGGAAAAATATCTAAGCTAGTATTCATCATTTATTTATTTTTTCATTCATTCATAAAATATTAATTGAATGCCTACTATGTGCCAGCTGCAAGCTGAATATTGCTTAACACAAATGCATTTTTAGTTGGCAATCTACCCCTTCCTTCAATGCATGGCTGGACCCTTTCAGGAAATCAGTTCCTTTCAAAATTGTGTGCTCCTACATTATGCAAAATCAATAGATTTAAGAGAAAAAATACAAATAGGGCAAAAAGTATGACATAACACCATATATAGATATATATACTTTATATATGTGTATATATATATATACACACACACACACACACATTTATAGATACATACACACACATCTCCTCATTCTCTTTTAAAGGTGAGTCACTTTGAGAGGACAAAATAAGTCATATTTAGTGTTTAATTGTGGGTTTCTATAGGGTTATAATAAAAGTAATTTAAAATATTTTTATGGCTCAATCTTTCCATGTTAAATTGAAGAATAATCAGGATATCTTTAAAAATCTGATTCTGCTAGATTCTCACCTGTGTTTCCACCCTGGCTGCCTTAAAGAAGAGTAATCATGCATCCTGGTTTGATTTGGACAGTTTACATCTGCGGTCTCAGCACAATTATTAATCTGTCTTTCACTTTCAGAAGTGATCAATTTAAACAATAAATTATGTGACCCCTGTGTCTTGAGGTGCCACTTCAACTATACCCAAGCACTGCACCTTTTGATGGGGTCAAACGAGATGCCATTCTAGCCCTCAGGGAGCTGACTGGAAACCGAGGGAGACATAAATATCAACAACTCTTTTCAAGGGAAATCAAGAACTTGAAGAAGAACAAACTTCATACAAAAGTAGGTTAAAAAAGGATAGTATTCGAGAAGCCATTAAGGCTGTCAAATTTGAGAACATAAGACAGCAAAGCCTAATAATTAACAACTTATTAAACACAGTTCATTTCTGAACAAAAACCACTTTATCTAGGGGTTTTTAATTTGAAAACCATGTTATACAGGCTATTGCAAATAACAGCCAGAAATAATAATAGTGCATAACAGTAATAGCAATACATGAATGATATTTACTTGTGTATAATGAAAAATATTTTCATTACCCTTCAAGGCTTTTCACCAGTCCTTGACAATGGATAATGCATATTTTTTTTAGTTAACAAATACTTCCTGTTTTGCCTGAATTATATTTCTCATATTTTCTCCTCTCACTTTTGTAACCTTAGGTTTGAGGAAATAAAGAGTTAAATTTTTAAACAGCCACTGATATGCTCTCTAAAGCAATTATTCCTTCTGTCACCAAGAGATAAATGTACTACCACAAGACATTACAAATATGCTCCTCTAGACTCTAATACAAATTACTGTCAGACCACACCACTTAAAGCCTTCCTCCTCTTATTTAGTAAAGCCAATTTCTTGTGATTTTTTTTTACATATAAAGAAGAAAATATCTTGCTCTGAAGATTGTTAACACATTTTAACATTTTTTTAACTGTTTAAAATAACAAAACTGTTTATTAACTCTTAAAACCATTAATACTGAGACTGTTGAACCTTCTGGAACAAGTCAGTGGGGGAGAAAACCTCTGGAATCAAGTGAGTTTCCTACTCTCTGGGAGGGTTGCAGAAGGACTTCAATCATTGAAAGCAATTCTAAAGTTAGTCCTAGCCCCAAACAAGCTTCTGGAAGAAAAATTTAAACTGCTAAAATTGAAGTATAGATTTACCTCAATTATAGTCTTATCCCCAGAAGAAATTATCTTAGGGTTATTCAAAGCATATCAATAATGCTCAGAGACTGTGAACATATTTCTCTTAAAAAACAATGTGCATTTTAATGAAATATCTTCTCGTCTACTTTCCAATGGAAGGAATGTATTATGGTTCTAATATTTACTTCCTTCTAGCTCTCTGTGTGGTTATTGACTAAACTCGATCTCTCTGTTCACATTGGTATGATCATCCATAAATGTAAGAACATCTACTAAGACTCTGTGGAGAGTTTGTGTTGTATCAAAGCTAATGATGACCTTAAGGAGCAGCCATATGTGCCTGTTTGGTAGGGAATTACTGCTCTCAACCTGCATCCCACCTCACAGCCCACTCCCAGTATCACACCTTGAAGTGTCACTTCCCAGCCTTCACATTGCTTCCATTGCTAAACACTATTAGTGGCTTCCAGTTGTACCAGGTGATGAGGCCAGCCTTTGTCATGACAATGAGGACCTGCCTGACCTGGCTCTGCCTAACTCTTCAATCATCCTGTACTACTCTGACCTTCAATATCTACTCTAGCTATATAGGCCTTAGGTCAGTTTTCAAATATGCCTAACTCTTTCCCAAGGAATGTTTCTGTACACACTGTTCTCTCAGACTGGAAGGCACTTTCCCCTGCGCTTCACAGTGGCTGCTTCTTTATCCTCTTCATCTCTGTTTAAATGTCACTTTGCAGAAAGGCTTTTCCTGATGCTTTATCTAAAGTATCCCTTTTCATTGATTATCTCAGCAGTCTTTATTCTAAAAGCAGATCAATGAGGGGTAAATGATGGAACCAGCCATGGAGAAAGCTGGTATTACTCATACACGCACACACACACGCACATACACACACACACACACGGGTTGTAAAAATTATGCATTAAAGCAAATGAAAATAATGTTTTAACATCTGAAGAGGTTAAGGAAGAGTAACTCAGCTCTTGAAGATACCAATATCTTGGAAACACCAAAAAATCTTTCCCTTTCTGGTTTCCAAATACTCCAGCAGTCAGTAATTAAGTGGCAGACAGGAGGCCATAGGATCCCACTTCAGGGAAGCTGACCAGTGCAATAGAAAAGACCCACAGATAAAGACAGCTGGAAGTCATGCAACAGCCAGCCAAGTCCCTGCCTAATCACCCTACAATGAAGCTTATAATTTACTATTCCTGCTTATTCATCACAATTTTCAGTCAGTCATTTAGAGGTTCTTTTAAATATAAACAGACAATCAATGATCACTAGAAATTTGAAGACTCTAGCATAACAGTTCAAATAAATAAAGAAAAGGGAGAAGAAATAAAACAAGAAAAAGAAAGAAAGAAGAAAGAGAGAGAGAGAAAGAAAGAGAAAAAGAAAGAAAGAAAAAGAAAGAAAGAGAGAAAGAAAGAAAGAGAAAGAAAGAAAGAAAGAAAGAAAGAAAAGAAAGAAAGAAAGAAAAGAAAGAAAGAAAGAAAAGAAAGAAAGAGAAAGAGGAGGAAGGAAGGAAGGAAGGAAGGAAGGAAGGAAGGAAGGAAGGAAGGAAAGGGAGGAGAGAGGAGGAAGAGAGAGACAGAGAAAGAAAGGAAGGATTCAGAGAAAATCCAGGCACTGAAAGAAACTTTAAAATGTTTTCTTCAGAAGACTCAGAAAATAAGAGAAGATACTGGATCTATGAAGAAGGAGGAGTAAGTAGGAAAAGAGAGAATGGAAGGGGAGGAAGAGGAAATAGAACAGCAGCAGCAGCAGCAGCAGCAACTACGACTGTACAAATATCATGGAGAAATAAAAAGGCTACTAAAGATGACTAATAGAAAAAAAAACTGAAGACCAGGTAATGGGTCAATATTATAAAACAAGAGTTTCAGAGAGATAAGAGAAAGTAAAGCAAAGAAAATTATTAAGAAGTGATACAAAAAAGTGCTTACGAAAGAAGAACAAATATCTTCAAATTGAAAGACCTCTTCAAATACCTAGCACAATGAATACAGATGGACCACACTAACGTACATAGTCATGAAACTTCACCCCCATGGCAAAAATAGAAACATTCAAAAGTTTCTCCAGAGAAAAGTAACAGGTTTTATTAATAGGCTCAAAATTCAGAATGGTATCAGACTTCCTAAAAGGAAACTGAATCTGGAGAAGCAATGGACCGACACCTTTAAAATATTGTGGGCAAAACATCTCCAATACTGAATGTTTTAGCCAGCCAAACTAACACTCAATTGTTTTGGTAAATCAAGACATCTTCAGGCATACAAAAACTCAAAAATTAGGTTCTATACACTCTTTCTCAAGAACCCACTGGAGGGTGTGAACCATCAAGGAAAATAGAGTTACCAAGAAAGAGAAATGCGTGGAAGTAATGAAATGGGAATATAGCTTTAAAAAGGTTAAGAGAATTCCTAATAGATAATTGCACAGGAGACTCAGAGAACAACTGTACAGATGAAAGCCAGAAGGCCGGAGGACTTCAGAAGGGTTATCTTAGAACCAAATGAAACTGGTAGACTTTCTAATATGCATGAATGGAACTGAAAGGAAATTTACACTTTGGTCACAGAGTCTGGAGACAAATTAATTCTGGGAACATGGAAAACAACTAAGAAAATAAACTTGATCACACTTTTTTGTTGTACACCTTTTAATTATTCTCTAAAAGTTTAAAAAGAGTGATCAAAAGTTCATTATACTGCATAACTGTAAATAATATTTATATAGTCATTATATAAACAGTTAAGCCCAAGTAGAAAGAAGCTGCTAACCCAGCTCAGCTATTTTGCCATGTAGTAATGCAGGGCCAAGTATTGCCAGAACTTGCCATGTGGTGCCAAATTATAACTTCTGGCTATTCTGATTGAGAAATTAAAATGGTCACATTAGCTCACACAGAGAAAAGCTAGAATAAGACTATCAAATCAATTGTGTAAGACAAAGATATTTTGGGTCATTCATGCCCAACTGGGGGAGCCCAGATTTCTTCTCTGCCGAATAGCTCATGTATCAGGAGAATAGCTTGGGATTCAAATATCAGAATGCTTGGACAGTCATCTTTTGAACAAAGCATTGCATCTCTAAGATTATCAGTCATGTCCTTGTATACCTAGTGCCATAGAACAATGACTGTTACATAGTAGACTCTCAGCAAATATTTGTAATATTTTTAATGAATGCATGAATTTTTATCTTTCCCAGTGCCTTGAAAATGTTTACATTTTCCCTAAGCACTCTCAAAAAGAAATAATCATTCCACATTTTGTGCTACTTCTGTAATGGGTACATACCACATTTTTAAAATTATAATTTATATTATAATTTTAAATTATAATTTTAATTATATAAAAATATATAATATATACTATATAAAATATACAGTATATATTATATATAATATACATTATATATATAAAATATATAATATATATAATATATAATATAATATATTATAATTTATATATAATTAATATAATTTATATATAATTATAATTTATAATTATAATTTAAAATTATAATTTTTTAAATTACACTTTAAGTTTTAGGGTACATGTGCACAACGTGCAGGTTAGTTACATATGCATACATGTGCCATGTTGGTGTGTTGCACCCATTAACTCATCATTTAACATTAGACATACCACATTTTTGGTACTCATCACTCTGTACAGAAAATATTTATTTATGTCTACCCTCCCAAAAGAATTTAATTTCCTTGAATGCAGGAATTATCTCTTTATGAATTTTGTATTCCCACCCTGGAGTCTCACCAACAGGTGATTTATTTCTTTCTAGCCCCTGTTATAATTTATTGCATTTATTGAGTACTTGATAGGTACCAAACTTCTCATATAGTAACTTTACAACATTTAATCTTCACAACAATCTTATAAGACAGGCACTATTACTATCACCATTTTACTAAAGCATAATGCCTGACATCTAGCAATTATTTACTAAATGTTGCTGAATGAATGGATGTACCTTTTGGATCTGGATATGTAGATTTGTTCCCAGAAAGTTTGAGAAGATACATCACCTCTCAGGCTATGTGTCAAAGTAAAAATAATAATTTTCTTTCTTTACTTGTGACTTTGCACACACCTCTGTTGACCATGATGAATATTCAATTGGGAACCCCTTGGCAGAAGACACATTAGGCTATAAACTCAAAGCAGCACCAACACAGACCATGGATTGTCGCAGAAAGTGATCTTGAATGACAGAGAACATTATGAGAAGATACTCTTAGTCTAATGATTATTTTGAATGTACAATAGAGTTAGGGAGGGAGTAAAGAAATCTTTTAAATTATTCAACATTTTAAGATTATTCTTGTGAAAACTTAAAATACGGGCTCTTTTAGTCTGGTTTCCCCCTAGAAGCACAGCGTGAGACAAAGATTTGATGCAGGTAGTTAATTTTGGGAAGTGATCCAAGGAAAAAAATGGGGAAACCATGAAGAAATAAAGAAAAGATCTTGGGCCCAATGAAAAGACCTTGAAAAAGTTGCTGTTACAGTTGCAGGTCATGAGGACTCAATCTCACTGAGAATATTCTGAGGAGGTATATAGAGTGAACCTCAGAATTGTCTGACCAAGATGTGACAGAGAAACTTATTTATCCACCACCTCCCATTGGTCAAGAGTTGCCCCAACAGGTGTTAGCCCTCTCATACTTCCAGGCTTTTGCATGCCCCCAAAATAACTGAATTAGTGCTGTAGGCATACTACAAGGCAGTAGCAGAGAAGGATCACACAGAAAACCAGAGGCAAGGGGTGAGGTTCTGGCAGGATACATTCAAACGCAAAAAGTGGACCTAGAAGATGTGAGAGTGGCATGAGAAACGTTTACATGTATACAGCCTCATAATGTACTTATAAATAAACAGACCAAAGTTTAGAGAGGAAAAGATAAAATGTGAACATTTTATGTGTTTTTAGCTAATTAGTAAAATATCTTAAGCCCATACTCTGTATAAAGCACTAAACCTGGGGTTGGGAGGAATGTAGAACAAATATATAATATGCATCCTGTCTTCATGCATCTTTAAATTAAAATGAGTCTAAACACCAACAATGTGAATAAAAACAGAAAATACAAAGTAAATGTAAATAAAAAGCTGAAATTTGTTTGGTTTTAATTATATGGGTTCCAGGAGTTCAGAGGGAAAAAGGAATCAATAAATGCCAAGGTTGCTAAGCAAAACCTCATTGAAGAAGTTGTACCTGAGCAGGCCCTGTTATGATGAACATATTTTGATAGGAGGAGAAAAGGACAACTTGAACACATTGGTGAGGTTAATATTGCTGCCATCCATATCCTCTTCTGGAGGAGTTAATCTTTACACAGCCATTGTTGACCACATAGTGGTGTTTTCTACCAGACAGTGCCATATTCCCAGTACTCAGACCAAACAATTGCTCAGCTTAAGTGACCAGAAAAGTGTGGGTACACAAAAGAGAGAAGGAAGGAGGAAGGGAGGGAGTAAGAAGGAGGGAGATTTCACTCTAATAAATCTATCCAGAGTTTTAAGATTTGAAGTTATTGAATCAATCTATTTTAATTAGAGCACACATGTAAGCTTATCATTTCACACTATAGTTTTTGATTCTTTGTACTCCTAAAGGTCATAATCAGGCCCTTCCACCAGGTGATTTGCTTCTTTCTAGCCACAGCAGTGTCAACTAGGAGTAGGCATCTGATTCAAGGGCTACTGATTCTTAGCATTGTCAACAACCTGTGACATAGTCTTTTGTGAAAAGATAAACAAGTTCAATAAGTAACTCGTTCTTGAGAAGCTGAAATTAAAGACTGAACTATTTGGCAGCCTACAGTCCATAAAAAGATGTCATGAGTTAGGCTAGGGGCCAAGTAAGGCCATGAAAAAGCATCAATTTTTAGACAAATGATTCTAGTTGATGGGGAGTGGAAAATTATGTATTAATAGATATACAGAGGGAAGAGAAGATTTGACATAAGCCCAAGAGACTGATCTGTCCTTAGATGTGTTTCAGATCATCTTTCCAGGTTCAGCCCTCGTTCCAGCCCCAGGCATCTACTCTAACCATCAGCACCCTTCGATTAATATACCTTACAAGTCTCTTTTTTGCTTTTTCAATGAAATAAAGATCAATTTGAGGGGGAAAAGGTGAAAAATTAAATGTATGAATAAGCATAGTGTGGAACAGAAAGATCGTCTTGAGTACACAGTAGAGGTTATGCATTGAAATTAATGGGAAATAGGTTAAATACTATGCCAAGAAAATTGGAAAATCTGGGTTTGGTACTATTTATCATTTAAAAATTCTTCTCTATACCTGATTTTAAAACTTTCACTAAGTTTAGAATAGGAGACGACAAGGCCTTGGCCTTTCCTACAAGATAATGTACACAAGACATAATAATGGGAGCAGATAGAAGCCTAAAATATTCTGCAAGTCATGCTGTCTGTCTGTAGAAAGTATGCATACTTTCAACTTGATAATATCTCTATTAGATATCAAAACCACTTCTCAGTACCTTAAGTAAGAATAGTTATGTTTGATGGCCTCATTTTCAGTCATCACATTCATAAGAGAGGGAACCCTGTCCCCTCACCCTCTTTGAAAATGGTCAACAAATTATTTTCTCAGAGTTTGTTTGTGATGAAAGAGTTTTTTATAGCTCCTCATAAGACTGAATGGAAAAAGAAAGATCTCTGAGCTAAAACTAATAACTAAATCTAATTAGTTCTAAAACCAATAGGTAGGATAAGGCAAGCATAAAGGAGGCCTTGAGAGTCCATTAACATTATATTAGGAAGGCATTTTAAATCAAACAAGCTTGGTTCAACACATATTTATTTTTTGAGGTCTTTATTACCATTACGGAGAGAGACAAAACAAATGACCAAGTAAAAAGAAGAGTAGACAGGTGGTAATTAAGAGCAGAAAAAAATAATTCTTAAACATTCAGAAGTCCTTGAGTGTAGTGATTGCTTTGCTATGACTGCAGTGATATGAGGACTATTCATTAGTTTAAAAGTAAAGAAAGAAAGGAAGAAAAAGAAAGAAAGAAAAAAGAAAGAAAGAGAAAGAAAGAAGGAAGGAAGAAGGGAAGGAATGAAGGAAGGAGAGAGAGAAGGAGGGAGGAAGGAACAGGAGGAAGGAAGGAAGGAGAAAGGAAGGAAGGAAAGAAAGAAAAAGAAAAAGAAAGAGAAAAAGAAGGAAAGAGAAAGAAAGAAGAAAAGGAAAAGAAAAATTGTTGGCATACCAAAACATGAAGCAAAATAATCTCTGCTTGTGTTATTAAAAGCATGGTTAGGATGACTTTCATACTAAAAATCTCCTCAACTCTAAAGAGAATGGCATTTTTCAAGAGACCAGAGTGCATCAGGACAATATTTAAGAAAATATTCTTTTCTTTTTCTTTCTTTTTTTTTTTTTTTTTTTGAGGTGGAGTCTGGTGCGATCTTACCTCCCTGCAGCCTCCACTTCCTGGGTTCAAGCAATTCTCCTCCAGGCCTCTGGAGGCCTCAGCCTCCAGAGTAGCTGGGATTACAGGCATGCACCACCATGCCCGGCTAATTTTTGTATTTTTAGTAGAGACAGGATTTCACCATGTTGGCCAGGCTGGTCACGAACTCCTGACCTCAGATGATTTGCCTGCCTTAGCCTCCCAAAGTGTTAGGATTACAGGCGTTAGCCACCGCCCCCAGCCTTTTTTTCCTTTTGATTGACTATCCAGGGCTTTGAGAATCCAGGTATCCCTTTATATATTGCATGCCAATATGTTAAATTTGTCTACCAAAAAACATGACATGGGAATTATTTCAGCTAAATTAACATTCACGGATTTTTAATGGCCACGTGATACTTCTCTATGCTACTCTGAAGGGCCATTCTCATGCTCTTTTTCCATTGATTGTTCTTTGCCAGAAAAAAACAACACAACTTCCCACTTGCTTGCTTGATCTCTGTCAAATATCAAGCAAGAAATCATCAATTAAAAACATAAATGGTAAGAAACTTCCAACTGTCAGACAGTTATAAAAGCAGCAAGTCTCTTTCCTCAGAAAAATGGCAGAGGCTCCACTTTGAATAGAATGATATGTTTCTAAAGGATTATTTATAACAGAAGATTTACTTCCCCATTTTGTAGAATATAAAAGACAAACATATGAAAAAATCATGAGACTTTCCTCTTGTTTTTGCATGTTTTAGTGACATGCTGACCTGAGTCCAAAGACAGAGATAAAAAGCTTTGATTAAGGTTCTAGGTAATAAAGACCTCTCCTGTTTTCCTCCTACTTACTTTCTCCTTACTGAGAGAAATGAAAGGATTATGGCTATATGTATCAGCTCTGAGCGAAGTTATTCATTAAAAGAAATTTCCCACTGGGGCTTCCCAGCTAACCTTTCATCACCCCTCCCTTGGTGGTGGGATACACGTTTGGTACAGCCTTTTGGGAATATCTTTAAAATTTAAAATACACATACTCCTTGATCCTGACACTTGTATTAATATTTCTGTAGGATTGATTTTGAGAAAGAGAAATCAGCTCCTGACATCCAAGAACTGGCCTGACACTTACAGTTAGGCCTTGATGTTGCTTGTCTGATGCCCGTAGAGATGTTCTGTTGGACATAATGGTCTCCTAGAACACCAACATCAGACAGGGTCACTTTGTGACTGTGAAGAAATGAGATCAAAGCAAAGCAAAACAACACTAGCAAACAAACAAAGACCACTTCCTTGAACCTTATCCAGAATTACCTAGCCACAACGCAAATTTTATAAGTCCTTCCTAACACACTCTTAGGTGAGATGGCCCTGTGGCTCCTCATGATGTGTGTGGTCTCCATTACTGCAACAAGCAATAAGCCCAACTTGCTTTCTGGTGGTCTTTGGCAAGAGGGCAAGAACAGTTATTAAAGGCAGAATTTTTTTTACAACAATATTCATAATCACAAAAACTGGAGACACCAATTTGCTCAGAAATATGAAAATGATTCAATTAGTTATGGCTCATTTACTTTATGAAACAACTCAAAGAAAAGTAAGGCAGTTGCTTGAGTATTATAATGGGGAACTGTTAAGGTATATGTTGGAAGGTAGGGCAAGAAAGTTAAATGTCAATTACAAAGAATAGGATACTAGCCTATCTTTAAGGAAAAACAAACTGTGTGTGTGAGTGTGTGTGTGTGTGTGTGTGTGTGTGTGTAGAAAAAAGTTTGGGAAGAATACATATCAAGCTCTTAACAGTGATATGGGGAAGAAACAAAAAACTTCCATATTTTGACATATACATCTTGTATTTTTCTAAATTTTATAAGGTTTTGTAATTACATTTATAAGTTTTAGAATGGATTATATTATTAAAAATTGGCTTCTTGTAAATATATGTCCATATAATTAAATAATGCGTGTGTATATATATTGTACAGACTGAGTTTCCCTTATCTGAAATGCTTGGGGTTAGAAGTGTTTCAGATTTAGAATTTTTTTTGATTTTAGAATATTTGCATATACATAATGAGATATCTTGGGTATGGAACCAAGTCTAAACATAACATTCATTTATGTTTTACATATGCCTTATACATATTGCCTGAAGGTAATTTTATGAAATATTTTTAATAATTTTGTGCATGTTGCAAAGTTTTGACTGCATTTTGACTGCGACGGTTATTGATTTTGTGAAATAATTTTTACCATATTAGGTATAGTTTCTTTGGTTTTCTGATTTAAAAAGTCTCCTTTGAAACTTTTGTGCAGCCTCGATTAGTAGAGAACTATAAATCACAATCTGATATGGATTCCCTGCACAAGGAAGAAACAATCTCATGAACCTGAGGATACTTTTGTTTATTCAGAAGCTTTGCCATAGTCTTTCTCTATCCTGAAAAGACAGATATAAATTTTTTACAAGTCTGTGAACTTGAAAATAAAGCCTTACTATCTGACTAATCACGCTAAAACAAATAAGATGAGATTCGACCCTGCTCTGGCTGGGCATAGTGGCTCATGCATGTAATCCCAGCATTTTGGGAGGCCGAGGAAGGCAGACCACTTGAGGCCAGGAGTTCGAGACCAGCCTGGCCAACATGGTGAAAGCCCGTCTCTACTAAAAATACAAAAAAAAATTAGCCAGGTGTGGTGGTGTGTGCCATCCTAGCTGCGAGGGAGGATGAGGCATGAGAATTGCGTGAACCCAGGAGGCAGAGGTTGGAGTGAGCCGAGATCGTGCCACTGCACCCCAACCTGCATGACAGAGTGAGACTCTGTCTCAAAAAGAAAAGAAAGAAAAAGAAATTGACTATGCTCTGTTCACATTTGTAAATTACAGATCTTCTATATTGTGTTTCCTAACACCAGCGTCAGCCACATAATTTGTAGGGCCAAGTGCAAAATGGAAATATGGGGTTCTTTGTTCAAAATGCAAGAAAAATGTACCACTAATGGTACTAAACTAAAAACATTTTCCTTCTACAACTTTTTCTTTCTTGGCCTGTTGTAGTTTTTAATTTGCTCTTTAATTTCACACTCTCTGGAGCATGGCAATGTTCTTGGGCAAGTATAGACATTCACCAGGCACTCAGGAACTGGACTGTGATTTGGCCTATCTTGGAGCCCAACAGCTGCCAAGTCCCCCAGCTGGCCAGCAGCCAGACAGAGGCTTCATATCCTCCTTCCTTAGGAGAAGGGAAGTAAAGCTAGGAATCTCCCTTTACCGTAAGGCTGCTGCTCTAATCAATCGCAGATGAATGAACCTGAGGATTGCAACCCTTGCCTCTAACAGATCTAACTCAAAACTGGATGGGGTGGAAAAAAGCTTGCTTCCAGGAGTCATGTGCCCAAAAGCACTATGATATTGCCAACCAGCTGCCAAGCCCTGCCCCAAGATGCCATGGGGCTCAGGTATCCAGTCCCAGCCCTTCTTGTCTGGTTCCTAAACCCATGCCAAAGAGAGGGTTGTAGCAGTCTCTGATGGAGAACAGAGAGCTGGAAAACAGGCAGGGTCTGGAGAGCTGGGAGTCAGAGAGCAGGCAGCTGAGAATCCATCCAAGGAGGCAGAGAGGTGGTAGGAGGCAGGGACTACATGTGACCCAGGCTCCAAGTTCTCCTCTTCCTCTCACCACCATGCATACTCCATTATCCCACTGGACTTCACTTTTAAAATAGAAATTCAAAGAAAAATTATTATAATTGTCAAGACAGTGACTGCAGACCATTCAACCTCAAGCTTGGGGCCCTTCTGAGCACGGGACCCTGTATAACTACACTAGTCTTCTGCCCATGAAGCTGGCCCTGCATGGCCCTTAACACTAAATATAAAGAGATAGATATAGATATATCGACTGGGCATGGTGGCTCACACCTGAAATCCTAGCACTTTGGGAGGCTGAGGCAGGTGGGCTGCCTGAGTTCAGGAGTTTGAGACCAGTCTGGGCAACATGGTGAAACCCCATCTCTACCAGAAAAAAAAAGCAAAAAATTAGCCTGGTGTGATGGCATGTACCAGTGGTTCCAGCTACTCCGGAGGCTAAGGTGGAGGGATCACTAGAGTCTGGGAGGTAGAGGCTGCAGTGAGCCAAGATTGCACCATTGCACTCCAACCTGGGTGACAGAGCCAGACTCCATCTCAAAAACAAAAAATGATGTATCATGATCACTGAGATACCAAATTATTTTACAACAGAGAATATCATTACCTTAACATCAAGTCTTTTATGAAATCTGAAACTTGAAAAAAAGTGTTTTAAAGAATGCCATGTAATCCTAAAACCTGCTATTCAGGAGTATCATTAGTTCATGAAACATATTATGTAAATAGTCACTTGAATTGTACATGCCATCCTTACTTTGGAGGAATTTTTCCTTTTTTCCTTTCGTGATTCCTTAACTGAGTTGAGAAAAAAACATTTATGTTAGCTTGTGTCCCTGCAGCTGCTGATATCAAACCGGTACTAAAAGTATGCAGTCGCTTTTCTGAATCTAAACACAAAAACAAATCTTTGTTTCTACCACAATTTCTCACACTTACATTTTTATTTTTCTTAGGGCTTTTTAAAATTAGGTATAGCTGCTGAATTTTATCAAATGCCTTTCCAGCATCTCTTATGATAATTTTTTTCCCTTAATTCCCTTTCCTTTAATTTGTTCATGAGTTAATTTATTTTGTTACACTTTCCTGATATGATTTTTTTTCTGTAGTTTTTCTTTACCGTCATTTTCAGGTTTTATTATTAAGTTTAATGCTTTATTTATAAAATGAAATAGAAAGTTTAAAGAGTATTTTGATACCTATTATTTAAAGGTAAGATAGAATTTAGTGGTAGTGTTACAGTGGGTAGCTAGTTAGGCACAAGCAGGGCAGAAGAGGGCTTTACATACACACACATCAGGAATGTCAGGTGACCATCAGGTGATGGTCAGACGGTTATTAACTGTCTCTCTAAAAGAATAATTGGTCACAGCTGGTGCCAGAGAAAAGCCGTCTCCTAATAGATACAAAACACCTGAAACTGATGATCAGCAGCTTCCTGATAAGATCTCAAAAGCTGGGTAAATAGGCTCAACCATGTGAGTGTCGACAGCCCACCCCAAGGCAAGAATCAAGAGGGAAGTGATGCAATACCCCAGAAGTTTGCTGACGTAATAAATTTCACTCCTGCTCTAAAACTTGCCTCGGTGGCTCCTTCTGCCCTATGCGCCTCAGTCAAATTCTTTCTTGTGAGGAAGCAAGAATTGAGACTGTGCAGACCCATACGGATTCGCCACTGCTAAAAGTGGAGTATTTAGTACCGGTATGTTTTGTAGTGGCAGGTCTTAATCACTTTTCCAGGATCTTCTGTAGTTACTGATTTATTAGTTACTTCTGTTTGGATCCGTCTTAGAGAGAAAGAGAGAGACACATACATACATACATACATACTAGAATTTCAAATGTTTTACAACAGAATTGCACACTTTTTTTACCATTTTAATATCTTGTAAATATGTATTATATCTTACAATATTTTTTATTCATCCTTGCTTTAATTTTATAGTTGTTTTCTATTCTTTAAAGTCAACTTTTGCTTTTATTAGTTTCCCCTAGAAAACTTTGCTTTTTTGCCTAATGCCTTATGATGAGTAGTAGTTTCCATTATTTTATTATTTCTGCTTTAATAATTACGCTTTTTAAGGCTAAAAAGTTTTCTTTAAGTTCATCTTTCACTGGGTTGCATTGATTTTGATATGGCTTCTTCTCTTCTTAATTTCAAGATAATTTATAATATCACTTTTGATTTCCTTTTGGATCCAAAGATTTTATGTAAGAGTATTAACTACTTTCCATGTAGTTAAGTTTTTTAGTCATTTTAAAGTGTATTGATTTCTAATTTTATTTTATTTTGATCAGCAACTGAGACCTATATATAATATTCCTACCATCTTTAAGTATTGCTTTCTGATCAAGAACATGATCAAATTCTGTGAATGTTTAGGAGACATACAAAACAGTGTATTCTCTATTCAAGTAGTACAAATTTATATGCACACATAAAATCAAGTTATTGAGTATATTGATAAATTCCACTGTAATCTTAATTACTATGATATCTACTAGAACCTTATTATTTAGAAATGTTGAAGTGCATTATTTTCCTTAACAATGGTATTTTAATCAAATTATCACTTTTGATTTATCTCTTTTCTAAAATTTAGTTTTTGCTTACTATACATGATAGCTATATTGACTAATCATAGTTTGATGACTCTTAAGCTGAACTTTTAAAATCACTTCCTTATGTATCTTTCTCTTCCTTAATGCTTGTAATGTTAAATTCTACCCTCTTTGATGTTAATATTGCCAGTATGCTTTCTGAAAATTACTGTTAGCCTTGTCTTTTTTACCCATTCTTTTATTTTCAGCCTTTCTTCATGTTTTAAGCGTGTTTGTTTTAAACAGTATGGAATGGATTTCATGTTTAACTCAGTCTGATAGTTTCTGCTTTAAATAATGTTATACAGCTTCTTGATATTTCATATAACATATATTACTGTATTACTTTTTTTTACTTCTTGTTCTTAATTTTTGCTGTTTTTTCCCTAGTTTCTATTCATTCCCTTTGTTCCCTCTTTTAATATGGAAGTTCTACTGTATTTTCTTACTCTACAAGTGGTTACTTGTCTTTCCTTGACAGTCAAACACATATTTTTCTACTATTGTAAGAAAACAAGACGTAACGTATTTTCATCACCATTGTTGCTATTTCCTTTTCTGTGTAATATGGCATGATTTTAGAGTCAGTGTTCTCACTTCTCACTCTCTTCACTCCCTTTGAGAACTTTGATGGCTTTTACTTCTCAGCCTCTTCCTCTTTCCCAGCCTTATCTCAACTGTTAAACTTTGCTGAGATAATTTAGTATTTTAATTTCCAAAAATTACAAAATTTTTTTCATACAATGTATATTTTCTTTTCTTTCTCTTTTTCTTTTCTTTTTTCTTTTTATTTTGTGATAGAGTCTCGCTCTGTCACCCAGGCTAGAGTACAGCGGCATGATCTCAGCTCACTGCAACCTCTACCTCTCCTCAGTTCAAGCCATTATCATGCCTCACCCTCCCAAGTAGCTAGGATTACAGGCATGCACCACCACACCCAGTTAATTTTTGTATTTTTAGTAGAGACAGGGTTTCTCCATCTTGGCCAGGCTGGTATTCAACTCCTGACTTCAGGTGATCCACCCATTTCAGCCTCCCAAAGTGCTGGGATTACATGTGTGAGCCACTGCACCCAGCCTTCTGTTTTAAGAGTTGGTTTTTAACACTTAGATTACACATTGCCAGTCATCCTCTTATTAACCACTTAAATATAATTTCACATAGCATACATGTAAATGTATAATATAAATTTTTATACATAATAATTTATGTTGTATGTATATACCATATACATACACACACATACATACATATATAGATTTTGCTCATCACTTTTTCTCATCTCATCTTCCCCTATTTTGAAGTCTGTTCTGATTCATTTGTTGGTTAGAACCTGCATATTTTCTTTAGAGAGGGTATACTAAAAGCATACTCTCTGAATCCTTGCACATTTGCAAATACCTGTTTACTTTAAGTAAGCAATATGTGGATTGTATATAGGATACTCAGGTGGCAGCTCTCTTCTCCCTGTAATAGTTGATGTTTCTAGTATTCACTCTCACAAATAAAAGGTTTAATGTCAGTTTGGTTTTCCTTCTATAAAATTTCTGTTTGGAAACTTGCATAATTTTCTCTTTATCTTCAGAGTTGGAAATTTTACTTATATATGTCTTCTTTAAGTTCTGCCTGGAAACTGAATTTTCAAAAGGAAAATTTAGACTTTTTTGGTTTAAGTTTTTTCTAGCATTTATTAGTTATTGATTCTCTTCCACTTGGTACTTTTTATTCTTCTGGACCTCCTAGTGGGTCTTCTTGATTGTTCCTCCTAGTCCCCCTTTTTTCCCCTCATGACTTCTGTACTTTGGAATTTCTACTCTGTGTTTTGAGATATTATTTCCATTTCAACTTCAAGATCACTATCAGTCTCTTAATGGAAACCACTGTCTCAGTCAACTCATTTACCAATTTATAATTTTAAAAATCTTTGAATTTTTTTTCTTGATTTCAATTTTGGGAAAATAAAATTACTATGATGTATTGGAATCTCCTTAAGAGCTCTGCTTTTATCATGCTTGTCTGTTTAATAATTTTTCAAGGTAAAATTCACGTAAAAGCATTTCATAGTGAACAATAGACAATTAATACATTTACAGTGTTGTATAAGCACCTCTATGTAGTTTCAAAACATTTCCATCAACCCAAAGTAAAACTCCCCTCAGTTCCTAATAATGACCAAAATGCATTCTACCTCTGGATTTATCTATTCTAGATACTTCATATAAATGGATTCATACAATATGTGATCTTTTGAGCCAGAATCTTTCACTTAACCTAATGTTTTGAAGCTCACCTACCTTGCAGCATATATCAGTACTTTATTCTTTTTAATGACTGAATGACATCTCATTTTAAATACATATCAAAATTTGCACATTCATTGGTTGATGGACATTTACACTGTTTCTACATTTTTACTGTCATGAATATCAAATATATGGTTTGCAAATATTTTCTTTCATTCTGTGTGTTGTATTTTCACTTAAACTGTTCTGTGATGCACAAAAGTTTTTAATTTTGGTAGAGACAAACTTATTCTATTTTTTCTTTTGTTGCTTAGCTTCTGGTGACATATCTAAGAATCCATTACTAAATCCAAGGTTATGAAGATTTACTCCTTTTTTTCTAAGAGTTTTATAGTTTTAACTCCTACATTTAGGTTGTTTGTCTATTTTGAATTCATTTTTGTATGTGGTGTGAGGTAGGAGTCTACCTTAATTATTTTGTATATGATGTAAGAAAGGGGTTCAGCTTTAATCTTCTGCATATGGCCAGCCAGTGATCTCAGCACCATTTATTGAATAGGGAATCCTTAACCCCATTGCTTGTTTTTGTCAGGTTTGTCAAAGATCAGACAGTTGTAGGTGTGAGGTCTTATTTCTGGGTTCTGCATTCTGTTCCATTGGTCTATGTATCTATTCTGGTAGTAACACCAGGCTGTTTTGGTTATCACCAAGACCAGCTCGGTTGTGGAGACCCTAAACCAGCAGTGCTAGAGGAATTAAAGACACACACAGAAATATAGAGGTGTGAAGTGGGAAATCAGGGGTCTCACAGCCTTCAGAGCTCAGAGCCCCAAACAGAGATTTACCCACATATTTATTAACAGCAAGCCAGTCATTAGCATTGTTTCTATTGACATTCAATTAACTAATAGTATCCCTTATGGGAAATGAAGGGATGGGCCGAATTAAAGGAATAGGTTGGGCTAGTTAACTGCAGCAGGAGCATGTCCTTAAGGCACAGATCACTCATGCTATTGTTTGTGGCTTAAGAATGCCTTTAAGCAGTTTTCTGCCCTGGGTGGGCCAGGTGTTCCTTGCCCTCATTCCTGTAAACCCACAACCTTCCAGCTTGGGTGTTAGGGCCATTATGAACATGTTACAGTGCTGCAGAGATTTTGTTTATGGCCAGTTTTGAGGCCAGTTTATAGCCAGATTTTGGGGGGCCTGCTCCCAACATGTTCCCCTTCTCTTATTTGCAAATCGATAAAAGCAAAGGCAGCTTTGTCATGGTGAGCTACTTCTTACAGGAGTCAGGATCCACATCTGTAGACTATACTAAGACAAACAACACAGATTAAAAGCACAATCGTCATTGAAATCACAGAGCTTCCAAGTGTTTTTATCCATTTTCAGCTCCTTTACACAATCCAGTTCCTGGCATTAAGGCCGGGTGTGCCTGGGATGCTTTAAATATTTGTTCTTTTAATTTTAAATCCTTATGTTAAGCTCCTAGAGTGGGCCATATCATTTGAGGTTGAGGTGCCACTACACCACCATGGTTCCAGATAAGAGGAACTTTTGCCATACTTCTTATCATTTCTACCATCTGACCATTTTGAGCAGATCATCTGAACATAGTGTGGCAATGGCATGCAGACTGAGAGGTGCAATTCAAGCTAAACATCCCATGAGGGGATTAAAGACACACACAGAAATATAGAGGTGTGAAGTGGGAAATCAGGGGTCTCACAGCCTTCAGAGCTCAGAGCCCCAAACAGAGATTTACCCACATATTTATTAACAGCAAGCCAGTCATTAGCATTGTTTCTATTGACATTCAATTAACTAATAGTATCCCTTATTAATAATAATTCCATAGGAATCGTTGTGCAGCACCTCTGCCTGTTCTGCAATGCAATCTTCCTAAACAAGTACATTCATTTTTTCTAACTGGGTCCAATCTTGTTTACAAATAGGTTTTTGAGGGCAGTATGCCTCAATTATAGGAGCAGATTATTTTTTTTTATTATTATACTTTAAATTCTAGGGTACATGTGCACAATGTGCAGGTTTGTTACATATGTATACATGTGCCATGTTGGTGTGCTGTACCCATTAACTCTCCATTTACATTAGGTATATCTCCTAATGCTATCCCTCCCCACTCCCCCCACCCCACAACAGGCCCCAGTGTGTGATGTTCCCCTTCCTGTGTCCATGTGTTCTCATTGTTCAATTCCCACTTATGAGTGAGAACATGTGATGTTTGGTTTTCTGTCCTTACGATAGTTTGCTGAGAATGCTGGTTTCTAGCTTCATCCATGTCCCTAAAAAGGACATGAACTCATCCTTTTTTATGGCTGCATAGAATTCCATGGTGTATATGTGCCACATTTTCTTAATCCAGTCTATCATTGTTAGATATTTGGGTTGGTTCCAAGTCTTTGCTATTGTGAATAGTGCTGCAATAAACATATGTGTGCATGTGTCTTTATAGCAGCATGATTTATAATCCTTTGGGTATATACCCAGTAATGGGATGGCTGCATCAAATGGTATTTCTAGTTCTAGATCCTTGAGGAATCGCCACACTGACTTCCACAATGGTTGAACTAGTTTACAGTCCTACCAACACTGTAAAAGTGTTCCTATTTCTCCACATCCTTTCCAGCACATGTTGTTTCCTGACTTTTTAATGATCGCCATTCTAACTGGTGTGAGATGGCATCTCATTGTGGATTTGATTTGCATTTCTCTGATGACCAGTGATGATGAGCATTTTTTCATGTGTCTGTTGGCTGCATAAATGTCTTCCTTTGAGAAATGTCTGTTCATGTCCTTCGCCTACTGTTTGATGGGGTTGTTTGTTTTTTTCTTGTAAGTTTTTCTGAGGTCTTTGTAGATTCTGGATACTAGCCCTTTCTCAGATGAGTAGATTGCAAAAATTTTCTCCCATTCTGTAGGTTGCTTGTTCACTCTGATGGTAGTTTCTTTTGCTGTGCAGAAGCTATTTAGTTTAATTAGATCCCATTTGTCAATTTTGGCTTTTGTTGCCATTGCTTTTGGTGTTTTAGACATGAAGTCCTTGCCCATGCCTATGATGCCTATGTCCTGAATGGTATTGCCTAGGTTTTCTTCTAGGGTTTTTATGGTTTTAGGTCTAACATTTAAGTCTTTAATCTATCTTTAATTAATTTTTGTATCAGATGTAAAGAACAGATCCAGTTTCAGCTTTCTACATATGGCTAGCCAGTTTTCCCAGCACCATTTGTTAAATAGGGAATCTTTTCCCCATTTCTTGTTTTTGTCAGGTTTGTCAAAGAGCAGATGGTTGTAGATGTGTGGTATTATTTCTGAGGGCTCTGTTCTGTTCCATTGGTCTATATCTCTGTTTTGGTACCAGTACCACGCTGTTTTGGTTACTGTAGCCTTGTAGTATAGTTTGAAGTCAGGTAGCATGATGCCTCCAGCTTTGTTCTTTTGGCTTAGGATTATCTTGGCAATGCAAGCCCTTTTTTGGTTCCATATGAACTTTAAAGTAGTTTTTTTCCAATTCTGTGAAGAAAGTCATTGGCGCTTGATGGGGATGGCATTGAATCTATAAATTACCTTGGGCAGTATAGCCATTTTCACAATATTGATTCTTCCTAACCATGAGCATGGAATGTTCTTCCATTTGTTTGTGTCCTCTTTTATTTCGTTGAGCAGTGGTTTGTAGTTCTCCTTGAAGAGGTCCTTCACATCCCTTGTAAGTTGGATTCCTAGGTATTTTATTCTCTTTGAAGCAATTGTGAAAGGGAGTTCACTCATGATTTGGCTCTCTGTTTGTCTGTTATTGGTGTGTAAGAATGCTTGTGATTTTTGCGCATTGATTTTGTATCCTGAGACTTTGCTGAAGTTTCTTATCAGCTTAAGGAGATTTTGGGCTGAGACGATGGGGTTTTCTAAATATACCATCATGTCATCTGCAAACAGGGATAATTTGACTTCCTCATTTCCTGATTGAATACCCTTTATTTCTTTCTCCTGCCTTATTGCCCTGACCAGAACTTCCAACACTATGTTGAATAGGAGTGGTGAGACAGGGCATCCCTGTCTTGTGCCAGTTTTCAAGGGGAATTCTTCCAGTTTTTGCCCATTCAGTATGATATTGCCTGTGGGTTTATCATAAATAGCTGTTATTATTTTGAGATACGTCCAATCAATACCTAATTTATTGAGAGTTTTTAGCATGAAGCACTGTTGTATTTTGTTGAAGGCCTTTTCTGCATTTATTGAGCTAATCGTGGTTTTTGTCTTTGGTTCTGTTTGTATGCTGGCTTACATTTATTGATTTGCATATGTTGAACCAGCCTCTCATCCCAGGGATGAAGCACACTTGATCATGGTGGATAAGCTTTTTGATGTGTTGCTGGATTCTTTTTGCTAGTATTTTATTGAAGATTTTTGCATCGATGTTCATCAGGGATATTGGTCTAAAATTCTCTTTTTTTGTTGTGTCTCCACCAGGCTTTGGTGTCAGGATGATGTTGGCCCCATAAAGAGTTAGGGAGGATTCCTTCTTTTTCTATCGATTGGAATAGTTTCAGAAGGAATGGTACCAGCTCCTCCTTGTACCTCTGGTAGAATTATACTGTGAATCCGCCTGGTCCTGGACTTTTTTTGGTTGGTAGGCTATTAATTATTGCCTAAATTTCAGAGCCTATTATTGGTCTATTCAGGGATTCAACTTCTTCCTGGTTTAGTCTTGGGAGGGTGTATGTGTCCAGGAATTTATCCATTTCTTCTAGATTTTCTAGTTTATTTGCATAGAGGTGTTTATAGTATTATCTGATGGTAGTTTGTATATCTGTGGAATCAGTGGTGATATCCCCTTTATCATTTTTTATTGCATATGTTTGATTCTTCTCTCTTTTCTTCTTTATTAGTCTTGTTAGCAGTCTATCAATTTTGTTGCTCTTTTCAAAAAACCATCTTATAGGAGCAGATTTATCATGGTAAATACTGAGATCAGAAAGCATATGTAACTGTATCATAAAGTGATTATATCCAGGCATTTTTGCCAGCCAAGATTGATAAATATGCCCAATAAGTATATTTGTTCTCTGTTTCAGCCCTTGTTGAAGGAATACTCATGGCAGTGGTGATAACTGCTATCATAGCTATCATTAAATTACTTGTTGTGACTGGTTGTCCTGCTTTCCTCAGATTTTCTTCTGCCATCTGTGACAGCTTCTTGATCTGTCCCCAGGTGGGTGGCTGTGTTGGACGGGTGTTGCTTGTGACAGTTGGGGTCCTCCTCAGCTTCAGTCTCAACATTACTGCAACCGGGGGTTCCTCGGGATCCTCCCGGAATCTCTTCCTCAGCATCTGGCTCATGAAAAGGTTTCAGATGTCTTGATGGTATCCAAATTGGCTGTTGATTTTGGCCTGGAGAAATACAAGCATAACCTCTACCCCAAGTTATTATTTTACTTATTTCCCAATTTTTTGTTATTGGATCTCTCTGCCAAATCAGTTGTTCTGCTTCTGTCTTTGCAACTGGTTTCTGTAGATGCTGTTCAGCTGCTGATAACATCTGGCCTTTGGGCAGGCTCTAAAAATTTAAAGTTAATAACGCTAGGTTCAGTTGCATCTGTGGGGTTCCATATTCTGTCTCCCCCTTTCTGCTTTTGCAACTGCTGTTTTAGGGAGAGATTCATTCTTTCCACTATGGCTTGTCCTTGAGAATTGTATGGGATACCAGTAATGTGTTTAATATTCCACATAGAGAAAAACGTAGCTAGAGCTTGGCTAGTATAGCCTGGGGCATTATCTGTTTTAATAGAAGCTGGAATGTCCATCACCACAAAACACTGCAAAAGGTGATGTTTACCACAGGCATAAGACTCTCCTGTTTGGCATGTAGCCCAGACAAAGTGAGAAAAGGTGTCCACACATACATGTACATAAGCTAGTCTCCCAAATGAGGGAACATGTGTGACATCCATTTGCCAAAGAGAGTTAGATTCCAATCCTCAAGGGTTAACTCCTCCTGTAAAAGATGAGGAATGTACCATTTGGCAAGTTGGGCATCACTGGATAATAGCTTTAGCTTCTTTCCAGGTAATGCTGTATCTGCGTTTGAGACCAGAAGCATTAACATGGGTTAAATTGTGAAAGTGTCTAGCATTAGATATTGCATTAGCAACTAGGTGATCAGCCTTTTGATTACCTTCAGTCAAAGGTCCTGGAAGAGATGTATGAGCCCTAATGTGCATGATGTAAAAAGGGTGCATTCTACTTCTAACTGCTGTTTGCAATTGAGTAGATAAAGTCATCAGTTGTTCATCTGTATGAAATCATAACTGAGCATTTTCAATTAACTGTGTGGATTGAACCACGTATGAAAAATCAGAAATCACATTAATAGGCATATCAAAAGAAGTCAATACTTCAATTACCGCTACAAGCTCCGCTTTTTGAGCTGAAGTATAGGATGTCTGGAAAACTTTACTTTTTGAGCCAAAATAAGAAGCTTTACCATTACTAGATTGATCTGTAAAGACATTCTCAGCAGCTTCAATTGGTTTAAATTTAGATATTTTAGGGAGAATCCAATTAGTTAATTTCAAAAATGGAAACAGCTTCATTTTAGGAAAATGATTATCGAGAATACCCACAAAGTCAGCTAAATTGGTTTACCAAGTAAGACTATTTATAAAAGCTTGCTGTATTTGTGCCTTCATGAGAGGGACAATAATTTTTCCAGGATCATATCCATGTAATTTAACAATCTGAGTTCTCCCAATCCCTCTCATAGTAGTGATTTGATCTAAATAAGGAGTTAGAGTCCATGAATTAGTATGTGGAAGAAAAAGCCACTCTACTAAGTCCTGTTCTTGGACAATAACACCAGTAGGTGAATGCTGAGTTGAAAAAATTAGCAAATCTAGAGTCTTGTCTGGATCTATTCTATTTATTTGAGCCTTATGGACTTGCTTTTCAATCAGCTGAAACTCAACCTCAGCCTCCTTTGTTAGTTGGCAAGGGCTAGTAAGACTAGGATTTCCTCTAAGCATAGAAAACAGATCACTCATGGTATAGGTAGGAATGCCTAGAGCAGGTCGTATCCAATTAATGTCCCCTAGTAATTTCTGAAAGTCATTTAATGTTTTTAGTTGATCCCTATGTATAGTTACTTTCTGTGGCACAATGGTAGTGTCATTTACTAAGTTCCTCAAGTAGGAGTAAGGAGTAGTAGTCTGAATTTTGTCAGGAGCTATAATTAAACCAGCAAGAGAAATTGAATTTTGCAAGTGATCATAACACTGGAGTAATATTTCTCGAGTGGGGGCAGCACAAAGTATATCATCCATATAGTGAATAATGTAACACTGAAAATTTTTTACAAGTAGGTTCAATTGCTTGCCCCACATATGTCTGGCAAATTGTGGGACTGTTTAACATGCTCTGTGGCAACACTTTCCAATGATAACACTTAGAAGGCTGCAGGTTGTTTACTGCAGGAATTGTAAATGCAAACCGTTCACAGTCTTGCTCAGCTAAAGGGATAGTAAAGAAACAGTCTTTTAAATCTATGACTATTAAAGGCTAATTTTTTGGAATTATAGCAGAAGAAGGCAATCCTGGCTGTAATGCCCCCATAGGTTGTATAACTGAATTGATAGCTCTTAAGTCAGATAACATTCTCCATTTGCCTGATTTTTTCTTAATTATGAAAACTGGAGAATTCCAAGGGGAAAATATTGGAGCTATGTGCCCATTTTCTAATTGTTCAGTAACTAATTTCTCTAAAGCCTCCAGTTTCTCTTTACTTGGCAGCCATTGTTCTATCCAAATTGGCTTATCTGTTAACCATTTTAAAGGTATAGGTTCTGGAGGCTTAACAATGGCCACCATCAAAAATTATTTCCTAATTGTTGGAGAGAACTTTGTTTTTCCATTTGAAGCAGTTTTTTCAAATCTTGCAAATTCTTTCCTAGTCCTATACTAGGGAGATACCCCATTTCATGCATTGTAGGTTGACTTTGAGGGCTATATAATTGTTCTGGAATTAGAACTTGTGCTCCCCATTGTTGTAATAAATCTCTTCCCCATAAATTTGTAGGTACAGAAGTTATAATTGGTTGAATAGTCCCAAGTTGTCCATCAGGCCCTTGACAATGCAAAATATAACTACTTTGTTATACTTCAGGGGCTTTACCAACTCCAACTATGTTAAATTGAGCCAGTTGAATTGGCCATGTGGATGGCCAGTGCTGTAGAGAAATGATTGAAATGTCCACTCCTATATCTACCAAAGCTTTACATTTCTTTCCCTGAATAGTTATTTCACAGGTAGGATGTTTATCAGTAATTTGATTTACCCACTAAGCTGCTTTACCTTGTTTATTTGTGCTTCCAAATCTTCCTGTTCATTTAATTTCACTTTTCCCCATTCCCACATATGGCACAATCAGGATCTGTGCTATGCACTCTCTTGGCTCTGTTTTCCAGGGAACAGAAGTAGATATAACAATTTGAATTTTCCCATTGTAATCTGAATCAATTACTCCTGTATGTACTTGTATCCCTTTTAAACCTAAACTAGACCTTCCTAAAAGTAATCCTATTGTCCCCGCTGGCCAGGGTCCACAGACTCCTGTTGGGACCTTTTGCGGGGGTTCCCCAGGCAGAAGGCTCACAGCTTTTGTGCAGCATAAATCTACTGTGGCACTACTGGCTGTGGTGGGGGACAGACATTGTACTGGTGTGAGGTAATGGCCTGAGCTGGAAATGCCCCAGTTTAGAATGGGGCCCAGGACGGGCCCCTCATGGTGTTTCCCGAAACCGGGTTCCCACCTTTATCAAACTTAGAGTGACACTGATTAGCCCAATTTTTTTTTTTTTTTTTTTACATTTTGGACACATTTCAGGCTCAGCAGTTTTTTTCTTTTTTCCCCTATCTGGCAGCCTGACTCCTTGATTTTTTCTACATTCTTTTTTAGTATGACCATACTTCCCACAGTTAAAACAAGCTCCAGGAAATGGAGTATTTCCTTTATCCACTCTCAGTCCTGCCATTGCCTGTGCTAGCAGAGTAGCTTTATGCAGATTACCTCCGATACCATCACAGGCCTTGATATAATCAACTAAATATGCTTTCCCTCTGATAGGTCGCAGAGCAGCCTGGCAATCAGGATTAGCATTTTCAAAAGCTAATAACTGCAACATTATATCCTGAGCAGCCAAATCTGCAATCATCTTTTTAAGAGACTCCTGTAACCGAGCTATAAAATCAACATATGGTTCTCTTGGTCCCTGTTTTATAGCACTAAAGGAAAGGTATTGTTCCCCACCTGAAGTGATTTTTTCCCAAGCTCTAATGCACACTCCACTAAGCTGTTCTATGGCATCATCCTGCATGACCAGATGTGCATCTAAATCAGCCCAGCCACCAACCCCCAAAAGCTGGTCTGCAGTTATATTAATTTGAGGTTGGGCCTGGGCATTTTGAGCAGCCTGAATGGAAGCTTCATCTGCCCACCAAGTTTTAAATTGTAAGAACTGAGCAGGAGTTAGACAAGCTCAAGTAAGAGCATCCCAGTCAGTAGGTATCATCCAACTGGGAACAGCAACATTCTTTAACAGTCCCATTACAAAAGGAGAACCTGGTCCATACTGATTTATAGCTAGTTTAAATTCTTTGGGTAATTTAAAAGGAAAAGGCTCAAGTGTAGCTATAATATTTCCCTCTTGATCTGGGGGTGTATTCTAACAGGGAACTGCCAAGCCTCTAAATCACCCTCTCATCTAGTTTGCTGAAATCCTGCCTGAATAGAACTAAGAGCGGTTGCTTGAGGCACTGCTCAAACAGTCACTGGGGAGACTACTTTTCACCCAGTGCTCTCTGGAAAAGAAAGATCTGGAGGGTCTTTTTCTTCAAAATAATAATGAGGAGGTGTAGAAAGGTAGTGATGAACCTCTCCCTCCTTTGCCACTTTAGCTTTAGCTGGCAAATAAACATGCTCTGTAACCTCTTCTGTTACTTTGCTATACTCTTGTTCCTCCTCATCATCAGTCTGAAAAAGTTCCAAGGTGAAATGAACCAGACCCCACACTTGTCCCATTGTTACCCTGACACTTCTGAGCTCCCCTTCTTACTCACCACAGGATTTCTTTAAGAGTACTCAGGTGTCCTCCAGCTAGTTTTCCATTCCAACCATTGCTCCAGTGACCCTTCAACCTGGATTCCAGCCCCCATGATGGACGCCACTTGCCAAGACCAGTTTGGTCAGGGAGACCCTAACCCAGTGGCACTAGAGGAATTAAAGACACACACACAGAAATATAGAGATGTGAAGTGGGAAATCAGGGGTCTCACAGCCTTCTGAGCTCAGAGCCTCGAACAGAGATTTACTCACATATTTATTAACAGCAAGCCAATCATTAGCATTGTTTCTATAGATATTTGATTAACTAAAAGTATCCCTTATGGGAAATGAAAGGATAGGCCAAATTAAAGAAATAGGTTGGGTTAGTTAACTGCAGCAGGAGCATGTCCTTAAGGCACAGATTGCTCATGCTATTGTTTGTGGCTTAAGAATGCCTTTAAGTGGTTTTCTGCCCTGGGTGGGCCAGGTTTTCCTTGCCCTCATTCCCGTAAACCCACAACCTTCCAGCTTGGGCATTAAGGCCATTATGAACATGTTATAGTCCTGCAGAGATTTTGTTTATGGCCAGTTTTGGGACCAGTTTCTGGCCAGATTTTGGGGGGCCTGCTCCCAACAGGTTACTGTAGCCCTGTAGTATAGTATGAAGTCAGATAGCATGATTCCTCCAGCTTTGTTCTTTTTTATTATTATTTTTTAGACAGAATCTCACTCTGTCACCAGGCTGGAGTGCAGTGGGGTGATCTCAGCTCACTACAACCTCTGACTCCTGGGTTCAAGCAGTTTTCCTGCCTCAGCCACCTGAGTAGCTGGGACTACAGGCACATGCCACCACACCCAGCTAATTTTTGTATTTTTAGTAGAGATGGGGTTTCACCATGTTGGCCAGGATGGTCTCGATCTCCTGACCTTGTGATCTGCCCACCTCAGCCTCCCAGAGTGCTGGGATTACAGGCATGAGCTGCCATGCCTGGCCTATTTTGTTCTTTTTGCTTAGGATTTCCTTGGCTATTTGGGCTCTTTTTTTGGTTCTATATGAGTTTTAAAATAGTTTTCTCTAGTTCTGTGAAGGATGTCAATGGTAGTTTAATAGAAATGGCATTTAATCCATAAATTGTTTTGGGCGATATGGCCATTTTCACAATATTGATTCCTCCTATCCATGGGCATGGAATGTTTTTCCATTTGTTTGTGTAATCTCTGATTTCTTTTAGTGGTGGTTCATAGTTCTCCTCATAGTGGTCTTTCACCTCCCTAGCTAGCTGTATTCTTAGATACTTTATTCTTCTTGTGGCAATTGTGAATGGGAGTTTGTTCCTGATTTTATTCTTGGCTTGACTGTTGTTGGTGTATAGAAATGCTAGTGATTTTTGCACATTGATTTTGTATCCTGAGACTTTGCTGAAGTTGTTTATCAGCTTAAGAAGCTTCTGGGCTGAGACCATGGGGTTTTCCAGATATAAGATCATGTCATCTGCAAACAGAGATAGTTTGACTTACTCTCTTCCTATTTGAATGCTCTTTATTTCTTAATCTTGTCTGACTGCCCTGGCCAGAACTTCCAATACTATCTTTAATAAGAGTGGTGAGAAAGAACATCTTGTCTTGTGCAAGTTTTCAAGGGGAATTCTTCCAGCTTTTGCCCAGTCACTGATGTTGGCTGTGAGTTTTTCATAGATGGCTCTTATTATTTTGAGGTATGTTCCTTCAATATCTAGTTTATTGGGAATTTTAAACATGAATGGATGTTGAATTTTATCAAAAGCCTTTTATCCATCTATTAAGATAATCATGTGATCTTTGTCTTTAATTCTGTTTATGTGGTGAATCACATTTATTGATTTGCATAGATTAACCAACCTTGCATCCTGAGGATAAAGCCAACTTGATTATGGTGGATAAGCTTTTTAATGTGCTGTTGGATTCAGTTTGCAATTATTTTGTTGACAGTTTTCACATCAATGTTCATCAAGGATATTGGCCTAAAGTTTTCTCTTTTTTTGTTGTATCTCTGCCAGGTTTTGGTATCAGGATGATTCTGACCTCATATAATGAGTTGGAGATGAATTCCTCTTCTTCAATTTCTTGAAGTTTGTACTTCAAGAAGTACAAACTCTTCTTTGTACATCTGATAGACTACAGCTGTGAATCTATCTGGTCCTGGGCTTTTTTTTTTTTTTTTTTTTTTTTGGTTTGTGGGCCATTTATTACTGCCTCAGTTTCATAACTTGTTATTGCTCTATTCAGGGATTCCATTTTTTCCTAGGTCAGTCCTGGGAGGATGTATGTGTCCAGGAATTTATCCATTTCTTCCAGATTTTCTAGTTTATGAGCATAGAGGTGTTCATAATATTCTCTAATGGTTGTTTGTATTTCTGTTGGGTCAGTGCAGTATCATCCTTGTTCTTCTGATTGTGCTCATTTGAATCTTCTCTCTTTTCTTCTCTGTTACTCTGGCTAGTGGTCTATTTTATTAATTTTTAAAAAAAATCAGCTCCAGGATTTGTTGATATTTTGAATGGTTTTTCACGTCTCTATCTCCTTCAGTTCAGCTCTGATTTTGGTTATTTCTTGTTTTCTGCTATCTTTTGGATTTCTTTGCTCTTGATTCTCTAGTTCCTTAGTTGTTTAGGTTGTTAACTTGAGCTCTTTCTAACTTTTCAATGTGGGCATTTAGTGCTATAGTTGTGTCCTAGAGATTCTGGTATGCTGTATCTTTGTTCTCATTAGTTTCAAAGAAGTTCTTGGTTTCTGCCTTACTTTCATTATTTACCCAAAAGTCATTTGGGAGCAGATTATTCAAATTCCATGTAATTGTATGGTTTTGAGTAAACTTCTTAGTCTGGATTTCACATTTGATTGTGCTGTGGTCTGAGAGACTGTTTGTTATGATTTCAGTTATTTTGCATTTGCTGAACAGTATTTTATTTCTGATTATGTAATCAATTTCAGAGTAAATTCCATGTGGTGATAAGAAGAACATATATTCTCTTGTTTTGGGGTGGAAAGTTCTATATATTTCTATAATGTCCATTTGATCTACTGCCAAGTTCAAGTCCTGAATAGCTTTGTTAATTTTTTGTCTTGATGACCTGTCTAATATTGCCAGTGGGGTGTAAAAGTCTCCCATTATTAGTGTGTGGGAGTCTAAGTATCTTCGAAGGTCTCTAAGAACTTGCTTTTATGAATCTGAGTGCTCGTGTGTTGGGTGCATATATATTTATGATAGTAAGTTCTTCTTGTTGGGTTGAACTCTTTAGCATTATATAATGCCCTTCTTTGTCTTTTATGATATTTATTGGTTTAAAGTCTGTTTTGTCAGAAACTAGGATTGCATTCCTTGCTTTTTTCTGTTGTCCATTTACTTGGTAAATTTTTCTCCATCCTTTTATATTGAGCCTATGTGTGTCATTGCATGTGAGATAAGCCTCTTGAAGACAGCATATAAATTTGTCTTGGTTCTTTTTCCAGCTTGCCACTCTGTGTTTTTTAATTGGGGCATTTAGCCCATTTACATTTAAAGTTAGTATTGATATGTTTGGATTTGATCCTGTCATCATGATGTTAGCTGGTTATTTGGCAGACTTGTTTATGTGGTTGCTTTATTGTGTAACTTGTCTGTGTACTTCATTGTGTTTTTGTACTGGCTGGTAATGGTCTTCCCTTTCCATAATTAGTTTTTCATGCTCTACATGTTCAGAGAAATTTCTCTAGGAATGAACTATAGAAATAATCCCTGAAAGTGTAGTCTTTGTAAAAAGTTTTTAAATCAGAAAATATGAGTCCTCCAAAATTACTCTTCTTTTTCAAGATTGTTTTGGCTATTAGGAGACACTCACAATTCCATATGAGTTTGAGAATTAGCTTTTTCTTTTTTAAAAAATATGTCATTGGAATTTTCCTAGAGATTGCATTGAATATATAGATTTATTTGGGTAGTATGACATTATAGCAACATTAAGTTTTCAAATTTATTAACACTAATATATTTCAATTCATTTAAGTATTCTTAAATTTATTTCAGTAATGTGTTGTAGTTTTCAGTGTACAAGTCTCTCACATCTGTATTAATCAGGGTTCTCCAGAGAGACAGAACCAATAGGATATATATATATAGAAATATATAGAAAGAGATTTATTATGTAGCATTGGCTCACACAATTACTGAGGTTGAGAAGTCTCATGATCTGCCATTTGCAAGCTGAAGACACCAGAAAGCTGATGATATAGTTTCATTCCAAATTTGAAAGCCTGAGAACTGGAGGGCTAATAGTGTAAGTCCCAGTCTAAGTCTGAAAGCCTGAAAACAAAGACCACTGATGTCTGAGGGCAGGAGAAAATGGATGCCCCAGCCCAAGCATAGGCCAAGTTACTCTTCCTCTGCCTTTTTGTTCTGTTCAGCCTTCCGTGGATTGGATGATGTTCACCCACATCAGTGAGGATAATCTTTACTCAGCCTACCACTTCAAATACTAATTTCTTCTGAAAACATCCTCACAGACACATCCAGAAATATTTTATCAACTATGCGGGCATTGCTTAGCCCAGTAAAGTTGACACATAAAATTAACCATCATAATCTACTTGGCTAATTTTTGGGGGGCACTTTATTCCTTTGGATGCTACCAGAAATTTACTTAATTTCTTAATTTCTTTATCAGATTGTTTATTGGCAGTGTATAAGAGCACAGTTGGTTTCTATGCATTATCTTGTACTCAAAAACTTTGCTGAATTTGTTTATTAGATTTAGTAGCTTTTTTATGGATTATTGGGATTTTCTATTATGTCATCTGGAAACAGTTTTACTCTTTTACTTCAATTTCAATACCTTTTGTTTCTTTTTCTTGCCCAATTACTCTGGCTAGAACTTCCAGTACAATTTTGAATAGCAATGGTCAAGGCAGCCTCCTTGTTTTGTCCCTGACCTTAGAGAAAATGCTTTTATTCTTTGACATTGCATAATGTGCATAGCTGTGGGTTTTCCACAATACCCTGTATCATATTGAGGAAGTACCCTTTCATCTTTTGACTTAGTTTGCTCTTTGTTTTTTCTAATTCTTAAGATGTACATTTAGGTTATTGATCTTTACTTACATTTTAAATTTAAGTTTTCATTTGTTTCTTCCAGCAGTTCTTCTTTTCTTCTAGTTTTTTCTTTCTTTTTTCTTTTTTTTTTTTTTTTCTCATGAGTGCTGTATCTCCTTAAGTGATTTGGTATTTTTCTTTGACTACTCACCAGGATTCAGCCAGCCGCTGGGCTACCTTAGGCAGTGTCAATTCTAAGAGTGGTGAGAGAGGTAATCTCAGTGGCCTTTACCTCAGTGAGCTTAGCTGCAGAGCAGCCAGCAAGTTACCAGTATTCTATCTGACAATGTAAAGAAATCTCTCTGCTTCTAGACTCTTCTGTTTTAAAGACAAGTTTTCTAGCCATTCTATCTACAAGGTAGAGAAAACTCACTAGCCCACTTAATAAGATTCCCTGTATCTTCTCAGATCCATCAGGCTTGAATACAGCCCCTAGAGATAGTCACAAGAGTCTCCATGAGCCAAAATTAGTCTAAACATTCTCCCCACTTGTTGCTTCAGGGTTCTTTGCTACTGGTGCACAATCTATTGTCTATTCCAGGAGGACAATTTCAATACGTCCTCTCTTTCCAGACCTGGAAAACCTCAAGGCTTCTAGTGTCACATATCCCCATACCTCTGCCTATCAACATAGCAGCTGCTGACTCAGGAAATGGATTTATCTAAACAGTAATTAAGGACATACATAGGACAACAGTGGTATAATTTAGCTGCCATCTTCCCAGTAATTTCAAAAAATGTATATATAGGGGCCAGGCGTGGTAGCTCATGCTTATAATCCCAGCACTTTGGGAGGCTGCGGGCAGGTGAATCACTTGAGGTCAGGAGTTTGAGACCAGCCTGGCCAACATGGCGAAACCCCCTTTCTACTGAAAACACAAAAATTAGCTGGGCATCGTGGTGCATGCCTGTAATCCCAGCTACTCGTAGAGGCTGAGGCAGGAGAATTGCATGAACCCAGGAGATGGAGGTTGCAGTGAGCTGAGATCACGCCCCTGTACTCCAGCCTGGGCAACAGAGCAAGATTCCATCTAAAAAATATATAAATATAAATATAAAAATAAAATGTATAAATAGGTAATTATTTTTTAATTCTAAAGGACAGTTTTGTTATGTCTTGTAGCCATCATTTATACATTGCAATGGATCTTAGAATTTTAAATGGGAAATATGATTAACATACAAAAATTTCATATATGGATAAATTTTCATGTATTGATCTCAATTATTCATCTACCTTATGTAAATAATATAATCACCATGATCCATAAAGAAACAGATATTAGTATTTGTTCCAGGAAAATAAATTGCATTTTGTGCTATAGCCAAATTATTTATTTTAACCTATGAGTAAATATGCATACTATACTTTGGAAGGCTGATTTGCTTTAGAGTTTTTAAATACTTGTTTTTATTTTCTTAGTATGCTCATTTTTTTACAAATAAGAGAAATGAAACTATTCTTTATACTAGTGAACCATGACAAGAAATAAGTGGGAAATTTTGCTTGCACAATTACATGATGTTCAAATTAACTGATTCTATATTTTAAAAGGAAAAGATACTATCAGTTTTATATCTTTGTCATTATCTATACATACATTTAATAGCTTTTTAAAATACCAGTTTTATTTCTTATTTGAATAGCTTGCCAATACTTACCATCTGAACAACATTTCTCTGCTTGCAGCTGGTTTTTGCTTATAACACTGTAAGGTAACATACTGTGATTTGGAAGTGCAGCTGTGACTAAAAGTTCCAGTGCACTACTCATGCCACATTTCACAATGAACAGTGCAGATTGTTGCACAGGACTCAAACTTCATTCAAAGATTTACCCAAACTGTGTATCAGCCACACATATTCATAACCCATCGACAACCTTATTTTTAATAACTTTTAACATAATAATAGTATTTTTTTGAAATTTTGGGAAACAAGGAAAATTATGAAGAAGCAGCTAATGTTCATGAGTTACATCTACCACTATCTTTACATTTTAATGTGTATCTTTTTATAAATATATACATACAGTCTCCCCCCAGTTGAGATCATACTATACATATTATTTTGAAGACTACTTTCCATACTAAGTATAATATCATACAATGTTTAAACATACTGGAGATTTGTTTATCTTTAAATTGCAATTCTTCTGAGGTATAATTGTAACTAGACCATCATTCCATGCTCTGAATAGTAAATTTGTTTCTTACAGATACCCAACTGCTCCTTGAATTTTGCCTAGGTACTTATAAGAATCTACCCTCTCTTTTAAATAATTAATAAAAATGAGTACCCTGATGGCTTAAATTCATAATAGGTATGGCTTACAAAAGTTAAAAAGTCTCTTAGTAGTTTTATTTTAATTATTAAACTCTAAATTGTATTAGCATTTTCCCTTTTTTATTTTTTATTTTTTCTTATAACTTCAACATTTTTTTAAGATTCAGGGAGCACATGTGCAGGCTGTTACATGGGTATATTGCATGATGCTGAGGTTTGGGATACAATTGATCCTGTCACCTAGAGGGTGAGCCTAGTATCCAATAGTTAGTTTTTTAGTCCTTGCCCCCGTCTCTTCCTCTCCTGTCTAGTAGTCCCCAGTATCTATTATTGCCATCTTTATGTCCTTGAGTGCCCAATGTATAGCTCCCACTTATAACTGGTGGTTATCTGTTCTTGCATTAATGCTCTTAGGATAATGGCTTCCAGCTGCATCCATGTTCCTGCAAAGGATATCATTTCATTCTTTTTTCATGGCTGTGAGTATTAGCATTTTAAAAAATGTAAGAGTCTGTGAAAAAGCTGAATCGAGCTACTGTGTATGTGAGATTTTTGTTGTTGGTAGGTTTTTTTTTATTAAGACACATTTACGAATGTTATTCTAAATGATGAAAAGTATTTAATACTTTAGTAATTTATGAAAGTTAAAAGGCACCATTCCTAAGTAGATAATCTTTTTGTTTTGCATCCAATGTACTCAAACACATTCTTTTGGAAAGGTCACTTAGAAATTAACTATGAACCCATTAAGGGGCTGACCTGTGTGTTTTTCTTCATCCTTAGTGCCTAACACAAAAATTTTTGTTTGTTGCTGCTACTACTGCTTCTACTGGTGTTGATAAAATTGGTAAGAAAATTATATTGCTTTCTGCTTTACTCTATTGCTCATCAATAATTTGAGAGAGTTAATGAATACTTAGGTAACCTCCAAGATGGAGTTCAACAAATACGAAATAATAAGGCAAAAGAAATCTAAGCTTTATCTCTTGGTAGAAGTATTAAAAAGACTTTGAAATTGAGGTATAAAAATTGATTTGGGAGGATCAATTATGTGCCCTGATCCATAGGCAAAGATCTTGCAGTGAAGAACTCACATCTCCCTTATTACTCTGGCCTTTCTCTCCATTCTTGCACACTAAATAATGCCCTCGGCCCTTTGCCCTTTATAGATAATGTGTTTTATGACAATTACTACTGCTCTTTAAGCACCCTGCATTTTAAGCAATAAACTATATTCTTAAGATTTAACATATCAGCTACAAAGCACCAAAATATTCTGGTGTTCAACTTATTTATTAGTGTTTGACATTAGGGAAAACAAATATGATCTGAATGGTACCCCTGGAGCCCAGATACTTAAGTCCTCCAACATTTAAGTGTGGATTGGCTGGAGCTATCAGAGGTCACCATCTACAATTCCTCAGAGGATGGGGCTACTAAAAACAATATCTCCAAATTGGAAATAAAGTTTTTATTTGCAGGCTTTCTCTTTGGATGCTTGATAATGATGAGAAGCCTACACTGGGTGGCAAAGTGAAGACTGCTTCAATAGGGAAAGAGCCTTAGTAGTTAAAATGTTTTGTTAAACTCTTGAGTGCTCAGCTTGCTACAATTACATAGTATATTTGCCATGATTCCATTGTATGTCATGAGGTCAGTAGGTTTCATCAGATTCTGTAAATCTAACACTTAAGGCTTTATCAGATTATCCCTATGACTTCATAAATTCTAAGGTTACATGGGTAGAGAAGTCTCAATGCCAATAATACTGTACTTACCTTAAATTTCTATTTATATTCTTAATACTTATAAATAGATTGATGCTTAAAATAAATTTATTTCCTTATTTTTAATGTTTGCATTAAAAATAAATAAGCTCATAATATTTCCTGCAATCTAGTGTGTGGTCTATCACTTCTTACAACAGATTTAGATAATGCGGTCTGGAGAAACATGGAGGTGATGACAGAAGGAAAATGTCATAGATGGAGGAAAAAAGATAACTAAAACTGATTGAAAGAACTCCATAAACATAAAACCTCTCTGTATATTCACTTTCTTATACCATTTATGATTTAAATCAATGATTTACTACAAAATATTTGTATTGACTACTTGAAATTTACTTCATTGGCATTTTTTCCATTAAGGTTTTGATAGTGAACTGTAAACCCTAAAAATAGCCTGTCTTCATTTTCTTCATTCTTAGAAACTCTCTTAATATAAGAGTTTTGCTTTCTTGCCCCATTCCAGCTCCATCAGCATTTCTGTCTATATCAAGCACATTTATGCATATAATCACTTACTATTATCTTCTCTATCTCTTTTCAGTTTGCATTAATACAGCTTAAGTAATTTAAAGATCCCAGATATGTGCTAATTAGAGTGTCCACCCTAAAGGTATCAGTAAATCAGACTGCGGCTAATCTAGCTTCTCAATGTATTACTTTTAAATGCCCTAGGATGCATAAGCGTATTGAAAAATATCAACCCCAGAGAACGAAACTTATCACCTCTGTCAAATAATACTCACACTGATGAATTCTGACATTCACCTCAATATAAGTCAGAATCCACTTATTATTTAATTAGCCAATTCTATGTAATGTTTGCCATTAAGTGTGACAACATATGCAGCTTCTTTCTTTTCTCATATTATGGTATAACGTAACATGAATTAAAGAGGAATCTAAAATTGAGAGTTCAATCTTCAAAGTCATGTATTCTTTGACCTGCAGCTTGACATTCTTTCAGTGACATTAGTTTTTGTGAAGAATTAAACCCTGTTGTAGCATTGTAAGTTCTGTGAAATTTTTAAAATGCAACTTCTTGACTTCAAATTGAGAATTATTTCTGGGTGTAGCTTATGGGTAACATAATGGCCCATATGTTTTATCTGAAATATGATTATTGTTACTCAAGTAGTCTTCATCCCAAATATACATTTATTGAAAAACTGAGCCAGATTTTCTAATCATATGGAAATAGTGGTATTTGCCTATACAATCAAATGTGCATCTAATTCCACTTCTTGTATAGGTGGTGTAGCTAGATCTCTAAGACTAGTGGGAAGCTGGATAATCATTCAATTAAGCACCTCATTGCCTTAATCCTCATTCAAAAAAAAAAAAAAAAAACCTCACCAAAATCCTAGTGTCTGGGAATGCTTGCATGATATAGTGTACAGAAACTGTTCTGTTAACCAGCACTCTGCCCCTCATTACGTTATTCTAATAACAATATCCTCTTCTTTTGTGGAATTTCTCCTTCCCCATTCCATCCATGTGTTTCTAGTGGGGACTGTCATTAGTATACCACTTCACTAGTCAGAAGTTGGGTGCGTCCCTGACTCATACTGAGACCAACTGATTGCCCCATTCCCGAGGCCACAGTGATCTTCCTAACACCAAATGGGTGACTCAGGCTGAACCAGAAGACATCTTAGTGATATAGGATTTTTCTTGTCCTCTTTATCAGACTTGCAACAGGGGTGAGCGTTTACTCTGCCCACGGCCCTCAACCCCATGCAGAAAGGAGCACGTGAGCGAGTGAGTGCGAGACCCGGACGGCCACTCTGGGCGCTGTCACAGGAATAGGCTCCATGCAGGGCCCACAGCAGGCCAGACCAGGCATGAACGAGTGAGTGCAGGATCTGACCAGCCAGCCACTCCGGGCGCCATAGGAGCAAGCTCCTTGCGGGGCCCACGACCAGACCAGGTGTGACTGAACAAGTGTGGGATCCGGCCAGCTGCTGCAGGCACCAGCAGAAGCAAACTCTGGGTGTGAACTGTGCCGGTGCCCAGGTGGGGGTGCTTGCAACTCTGAAGCCCCACAGGGCGTGTTACAGTGCTCTCTTAGCTCCACTGTCTGTGGATGCTTGTGTGTTAACAACTCAGTTGGGCTCTTGCCTCCTCACGTGGGGCAACTGCCCTCCACCAGTGAGGGCACAGTGCCAGTGTGACAGCCTTTCTGAGTACCTGCACTTGGTGGGCCCCGAGCTGTTGTCAGAATACAAGAAGAATGAGGTCAGGCAGACACTTGAAGGACAGTGAAAGTGGAGAATTTTATTGAGCTATGGAAATGGCTCTCAGTAGAGAGGAGAGGGGAGCTACAGAAGGGAATGAACGGCAGGTAGTCTTCCCTGATATCAGGTTGTCTTCTCCCTGAAGTCTGGCTGCCTTGTCCCCAAAGATAAGCCATCTCTCTTCCCCAGAATTCGGCAGTCTCTCTTCTCTGCTGACTGAGTCTGGGATCTTTAAAGACACAGGATCAGGGTGGGGCGGGCCATAGGTAGTTTTGGAAAAGGCAACATTCAGTTGACTCTTTCTGAATAATGCCTTTTTACTGATCAGGAGAGAGTGGGCAAACAGGAATAGAAGTTCTCACTTTGGGCTGCAGGTTTCAGACTTTTCAGCTTGAAGGTAGGGTTCACTGGGACCTGCTCCTGTCTGCCTAGAATTTCTCTACATCTGTCTTTAGTAGGATATAACTGGAAATTCTAAGAATCTCCTTTTTGCCTCTTGAGCTAAATAGATGGGAGGTTTTTAGTCTGGAGTGGTCTAGAGCCATATTCCCAATTCTGGAGAAATTTATCTGGAACAGGAAAATCTGATATGCAGAAAAAAATCAGAGATAAGAATCAGTGAAAGGAAATAACTGGGTGAAGTTTATAAATTCTGTCATCTCTGAGTCCAATTCTACACTTGGATTTGTTGTAGATGTTTATATTAGACAATAAATTTCTCATATTGGCCTAAGTTAGTTGAGTTGAGGTTTTGTCACTTGCAACTATAAGAAATTTAAATATACTGGAATACCTGGAAGTCTTAATGGTATTTTTCAGGAAGTCTAGCAGCTTCTGATAAGCCTTAAAAGTGTTTAAAAGAAAAGCAAAGTTGAACCTAAACAGATATGATATGCAATACACACAAGATACATAGTGTTATAGAAACATAATAACTGCTTTTAATGATCTGTCTCAAGGAGGAAGCACATTTATAAAGATTTTCAGATCATGAGGTCTTCTTAGATAATCTGAATCCTGGTTATGCTACATCCCAGCTGTGTGGATTGGGCAATTTATATAAAGTCTTCAGTCTCTGTTTTCTTATCTGTAAAACAAAGATGATAATACATATCTCATTTGATTGTTACAGTGTCTGGCACATATAAGGTGCTCAGAAATAGTATCTATGATTAATATCTCATCTATACTATTTTAGGCACTTAAGGTGTTCTAACCAAATATCTTATTTAGCATAATGAGTCCAAAAACTTTATTAAGTTATAGTATTTACTGGGTATTTACTACCTGTAGAGATAAATAAGGCTTATAGCTTTCACTTATAGAAGTTACAGTTTTATAGAAGAGAGCATAAATATGCATATGTTGTAGAATTCCACCGAGTGGGACACTTAGTAGTGTCTTGGGAAACAACACACTTTATAGAATTATTGTGTCTAGAAATTCACCTTGACAGAGTTACCTAAGCAAACTGTTGTGAGTGCTCTTTAGGATAGGTTTACAGACAGACTTCCAATCAGAAACTGTAAAAGCCAGAAGATGAAAGAACATCTTTCTTTCTTTTTTAAAAAATATATTTGGGGGGCATAAGTGCAGATGCTTTACATGCATATATTGCATAGTGGTGAAGTCTGTGTTTTTGGTGTACCCAACACCAAAATAGCGTCATATCCAATAGGCAATTGTTGAACCCTCACCCCTACCTTTTGTTGTCTTCCATGTCTATTTTTCGACTCCATATAGCCATGTGTACCCATTGTTTAGCTCTCACTTGTGAAAACATGCAGTATTTGACTATTTCTGAGTTACTTCACTTAGGATAATGGCCTTCATTTCCATCCATGTTGCTGCAAAAGACAAGATTTTATTTTTTATGGCCGAGTAGTATTCCACTGTGTGTGTGTGTGTGTGTGTGTGTGTGTGTGTGTGTGTGTGTGTAGCTCACATTTCCTTTAACCAATCCTCTACTGATGGACACGTAGGCTGATTCAATATCTTTAATATTATGAATAGTACTGTGATAAATATATGAGTGCAGATACCTTTTTGATATAATGGTTTCTTTCCATTATATAACCGGTAGATAACCAGTAGTGGGATTGTTGGGTCAAATGGTAGTTCTATTTTTAATTCTTTGTGAAATCTCCATACTGGTTTTCATAAAGGCTGTACAAACTTACATTCCCACCAACAGTGTATAAACATTCCCTTTTCTCTGCATCTTCACCAACATCTGTGGTATTTTGACTTTTTGGTGATAGCCATTCCAACTGATAAAAGATGGCATCTAATTGCAGTTTAGATTTGCATTTATTTAATGACTAGTGATAATAAACACTTTTTCATATTTTTGCTGCTTGTATGTCTTCTTTTGAAAAATATATGTTCATATCTTTTGCCACTTTTAATGAGGTTATTTGTTCTTTTTTTCTGATTGAATTGAGTTCCTTATACATTCTGGGTATTAGCCCATTTTCAGATACATAGATTGCAAATATTTTTTCCCCAGTCTGTAGGCTCTCTGTTTACTCTATTGATTGTTTCTTTTGCTGTGCAGAAGCATTTTAAATTAAGTCTCATATGTTTTTGTTTCATTGTGTTTGCTTTTGAGGACTTGGTCATAAATTCTTTGCTTAGCCAATGTCCAAAAGACTTTTTCCTGAGTTTTCTTCTTTGATTTTTGTAATTTCAGGTCTTATGCGTAGGACTTTAATCCATCTTGAGTTAATGTTTGTATGTGGTGAGAGGCAGTGGGTCCAGTGTCATTCTTTTGCATATGTCTATTCAGTTTCCCCAGCACCATTATTGAATACAGTGTTTTTTCCCCAGTGTATATTTTTGTTAACTTTATTGAAGATCAGTTGGCTTTAGGTACGTGGCTTTATTTGTGGGTTCTCTATTCTGTTCAATTGGTCCATGTGTCTATTTTTGTACCACTACCATGCTGTTCTGGTTACTATAGCTTGTAGAATAATTTGAAGTTAGGAAATGTGATACATCCAGCTTTGTTCCTTTCTTCTTTTTGCTTAGGATTGCTTTGACTATTTGGGTTCTTTGTTCCAGGTGAATTTTAGGATTTTTAAAAATTCTATGAAAATTTACATTGGTAATTTGATAGGGATTGAATTGAATCTGTAAATTCCTTTGGATAGTATGGTCATTTAAATGACATTGATTCTTCCAACCCATGAGTATAGAATGTTTTTTCATTTGTTTGTGTCATCTCTGCTACTTTGTACTTCTCATTGTAGACATATCTTACCTCTTTGGTTAAATATATTGTTAGGGTTTTTTGTAGCTATTGTAAATGAAATTGAGTTCTTCATTTGGTCCTCAACTAGATCATTATTGGTTTAGAGAAATTTTACTGACTTCTGTACATTAATTTTGCATCCTGAAACTTTACTGAATTCATTTACCAAATCTAAGAGTTTTTTTGGTGGAGTCTTTAGGGTTTTCTAGATAGAAGATTAGTGCATCAACAAACCGGGATAATTTGACTTCCTCCTTTCCAAGTTGAATTTTTTTCCCCCTGGTCTGATTGCTCTGGCAAAAACTTGCAGACTATGTTGAATAAGAGCAGTGAAAGTAGGCATCTTTGTCTTTCTTCAGTGCTTAGAAATGCTTTTAACTTTCCCCTGATAAACATGATGCTGCCTATGGGTTTGTCATATATGACCTTTATTATGTTGGAGTATGTCATCTATTTACATTCAAGGTTAATATTGATATGTGAAGGTTTGTTCCTATCATATTGTTGTTTCCAATTTTTAAAATAACTTCTTTGTTTCTTTCTTTATCTTTTTGTCTTCATAATTTCATGAAATTCTGTCATGTTGCCATTTGATTGCTTTCTCTTACTCCTACTCCATTGTGTGATTGTTTTATAAGAACTGTTAGTTTTATATTTCCATGTGTTTTCATAATAGTGAATATCAACTTATCATTTATTTCCATGTTAAAACTCTTTTGAGCATTTCATGTAGGACTGGTCTAATGGTGACAAATTCCCTCAGTGTTTACTTACCTGGGAAAGAATTGATTTCTCCTTCATTTAAAAAGACCATTCTGGCAGGTTATAAAATTCTTGATTGACAGTTTTTTTCTTTCAGCTTTTTGAAATGCTATCCCATTATCTTTTGGCCTGTAAAGTTTCTGCTGAAAATTCCGCTGTTAGTATGATGGGATTTTCTTCATAGGTGACTGTACACTTATCTTTGATTTCTCCCATAGGGGAAAGAGAGAACAAAGTGAGCATTCAGCTTCCCTATCCTTTTGAGATGTTGCCAAGAAGGCTGCCTCTTACCTCACCCAGAACACTGAGGGAATCTGCACAACTATATCAGCTAATCTGTCTGTGGCCTGTTGGGCCAGCTGACCAGCATGTGGAGACCCCAGTAGCCAGACAACCCATGGACTTTGACAGCTGGTGTTCCACATACCACCACAGTTGGAACCAGTACATTTCCAGAGTGGGCATGCAGACCTCAACATCCAGCAAAGACCTCAGCAGATGACTCAATTTTGCAGGATTGAAAGAAGGTATGCAACCCTGATACTGTTTCATCAGGAGGGAGGGAGAGTAATGGAGCTTGCACTCATCATTCCAGCATCTTGGCATACTACCCTACAAAATGGAGGCAGATTAATCTTAGGACTTAGTATGGGTCTTCAGGTGAGCAGAAGGTATGGAACCCTAATAAGTCTCTTTCAGGAGAAAGAGAGAGAAATGAAGCTTTCTCCAATACCCAGGTGTATTAGTCTGTTCCCTTGCTGCTAATAATGACATACTCATGAATGGGTAATTTATAAAAGAAAGAGGTTTAATTGACTCACAGTTCCACATGGCTGGGGAGGCCTCACAATCATGGTGGAAGGAAAATGAGGTGCAAAGTCACATCTTACATGGTGGCAGGCAAGACAGGAACTTGCCTCTCTTGTTGTGTAGAGGAACTCCCCTTATAAAACCATCAGATCTTGTGAGACTTATTCACTATCACTAGAATGGCACAGGAAAGACCCACCCCCATGATTCAATTACCTCCCATCAGGTCCCTCCCACAACACATGGAGATTATTACAATTCAGGATAAGATGTTGGGGGTTACATAGAGTCAAACCATATCACCAGGCATTGCAGGACACTGCCCTAGGGAAAGGAAGGAGCATCCAGGATGGTTCTCACATGGATAAAAGTCACATAATCCTAAATCTTTTCCCTCAGAAGAGAATGAAAGAAGTAGAACAGATGCATCCAATAAAAGGTTTGAGAGGCTCCCCCAGAATCCTCAGCTTGGCTGACTAATGAAGGCCTTTCATTGATAAAGCTAGTCTAAAGACTGAAAAGGATAATAAACAGCAACACAAAAGCATATTTAAGGCAGAATTAGGTAGTACTATAATGGCGATACATAAATAACTTTTAACCCTAATACAAGTGCTACAAGATAAAAGTATTAAGAGTAATTATAGTTGCTGGGTGTGGTGGCATGTGCCTGTAATTCCAGCTACTGAAGAGTCTGAGGCAGGAGAATCATTTTAGCTCAAGAGTTTGAGACCAGCCTGGGAATATAGTGAGAACCTGATTTAAAAAAAAAAAAAAAAAAAGGAAAGAAAAGAGAAAAAGCAAAATTCTAGCCAAAAATATTTGTTAATAAATACAGAACATAAAAAGAAGTAAATTCAGACATTAATAACATAAAAGTGTGTAGTTTTTATATGCAATTGAAGTTAAGTTGTTGTCAGTTTTAAAAAGACTTAAACTATAAGATATTTTAAGGGAAACTTAAGGTAACATAAAAAAAAACCCTATAATAGAAACCAAAAGGATAAAGAAAATATATATATATATATTATCACAAAAATTATTAAGTCACAAATGAATACAGTGAGAGACACAGAGAAGAACAAAAGAGCCACAAAATAGACACAAAACAATTAACAAAATGGCAATGGTATGTCTTTACCTATGAATAATTAATTTAATAGTGGTTAAAGTCACTAATCAAAAGATACAGAGTGGCTGAGTGAACAAAAAACCATGATGCAACTACATGTTGTCTATAATTCACTTTATATTTAAGGACACACATGTCTAAAGTAAAAGGACGAAACAAGATATTCTATGCCAGTAGTAAACAAAAGAAAGCAGGTAGCTATACATATATCACAGAAAATAGACTAAGTCAAAAACTGTCAGAAGAGACAAAGTAGGTGATTATATAATGATAAAAAGTCAATTCAGGAAAAAGATACAAAAAGTATAAATATATGTGGATCCACCATTGGAGTACATAAATACATAAAGCAAACATTGATTGATGTGAAGAGAGATATACAAAGCAACACAATAATAGTACTCACTTCAATATGCACTTTTCACATGGATAGATCATCCAGAGAAATAACAATCAAGGAAACAGCATGCTTCAACCATACTATAGAGCAAATGTACTTAAGTCAGATGCATGAAAAGTCCACCCAAAACCAGAAAAATACACATTCTTTTCAAGTACACATGGAACATTCTTCAAGATACGTTACACAGATCACAAAATAGGCCTTAGAAAATTTAAGAAGATTGAAATAATACTACATTTCCTTTCCAACCACATACAATGGAACAAGAAATCAATAGCAGAAGGCCCGGGCCTGATAGATCACACCTGTAATTTTAGCACTTTGGGAGGCCAAGGTGGGTGAATTACCTGAGGTTAGGAGTTTGAGGCCAGCCTGGCCAACATGGCAAAACCCTGTCTCTACTAAAAATACAAAAATTAGTTGGAGCATTGGTGGCTCATGCCTGTAGTCCCAGCTACTCAAGAGGCTGAGGTGGGAGAATTGCTTGAGCCCACGAGGTGGAGGATTCAGTGAGCCAAGATTGTGCCACTGCATTCTGACCCAGGCAACAGAGTGAGACCCCCAATCTCAAAAAAATAAATAAATAAATAAATAACAGAAGGAAAACTAGAAAATTCATAAATATATAAAAATTAAACAACACACTCTTTAAACAACTATTGTATCAAAGAAGAAATAGAAAGGGAAATTAGAAAATATCTTAAGGCTGGCCAGGCACAGTGGCTCTCGCCTATAATTCCAGCACTTTGGGAGGCCGAGGTGGGCAGATCACCTGAGGTTGGGAGTTCAAGACCAGCCTGACCAACATGGAGAAACCCCATCTCTACTGAAAGTACAAAATTAGATGGGTGTGGTGGTGGGCACCTGTAACCCCAGCTACTTGGGAGGCTGAGGCAGAAGAATTGCTTCAACCCAGGAGGTGGAGGTTGCAGTGAACCAAGATTGCGCCATTGCACTCCAACCTGCGCAACAAGAGCGAAACTCCATCTAAAAAAAAAAAAAAAATCTTCAGACAAACAAAAATGAAAATGCAACATACCAAAACTTATATGATGCAGCAAAGCAGTGCTAAGAGGGAAGTTTATAGAAATAAAGGCCAACATTAAATAGAGAAGAAGGATTTCAAATAAACAAACTACATTTCAAGGAATTCAAAAAAAAATAACTAAAACTAAAGAAAGCAGAAGGAAGGAAATAAATATTGGAGAATAAATAAATGAAATAGACAATAGAAAAATAGACAAAAACTGAGAAAACTAAAAGTAGGTGTTTTGAAATGATAAACCAAATCAACAAACCTTTAGCTAGACTACTAAGAAAAAGAGAGAGAAAAAACTCAAAAAGATAAATGGAGAAATGAAAGAAAAGACATTACAACTGACATAATGGAAATTAACAAGATAATAAGAGACAATTATGAACAATAATAGCCAACAAATTGGCCAACCTAGAAAAAAAAAATAGATAACTTCCTAGAAACATACAACCTTCTAAGACTGAACCAAAAAGTCGTATAATGCCTGAAAAGACCAATAACAAATACTTAATTAAACTAGTAATCAAAAACTTTCCAACAAACAAAAGCCCAGGACCAGGTGGCTCCACAGGCGAATTCTACCAAATATTTAAAGGAGAATTAGTACCAATCCTTTTTAAACTCTTTCAAAACATAGAAAAAAAAAGACTTCCAAACTCATGTTAGGAAGCCAGTATTACCCTGATACTAAAACCAGACAAAGATACCGCAAGAAGAGAACACTGCAGGCCAATATCTCAGATTAATATGGAAGAAAAATTCTCAACAAAATATTAGAAAATCAAATTAATCAATACATTAAAAGGATAATACATCATGATCAAGTGGGATTTATAATAACCCTGGGATGTAAGGATGATTCAACATATGCAAATCAATCAATATGACACATATTAATAGAATGAAGGAGCAAAATCATATAAACATCACAATAGATGCAGAAAGAGCATTTGACAAAATCTAACATCATTTCATAATAAAAACTCTCAAAAAAGTAGGTATAGAAGGACTCTACCTCAACAAAATAGAGGCCATATATAACAAACCCATAGCTAAAGTCATACCTAACAGTGACAGTTGAAAGCTTCTCCTCTAAGATCAAGAATAAGATAAGGATGCCCCCTCTGAGCATTTTTGTTCAACATACTACGGGAAGTCCTATTCAGGCCAGTCAGGCAAGAGAAAGAAATAAAAGTCATCCAGATTGGAAAGAAAGAAGTTAAATTTCCCTATTGGCAGACAACATAATCTTACACATAGAAAATCTTAAAGAATCCACCAGAAATTTATTGGATCTAATAAATAAACTTAGTAATGTTGCAGGATACAAAATTAACACACAAAACTCAATTGTGTTCTACATATTAACAACAAACTATTTGAATATAAAATTAAGAAAACAATACCTTTAGAATAGCATCAAAAAGAATAAAATACCTAAGAATAAACATAATCAAAGGAGTGAAAGCCACAAGACAGGAGACACTAAAAAAATTAAAGAGGACAAGGATAAATGGAAAGATAGTCTGTGTTCATGAATTAGAAGTCTTAATATTGTTAAATGTCCCTGCTACACAAAGTGATCTACAAAGTGATCAATGCAGTTTATATCAAAATCCCAGTGGCATATTTTACAGACATAGAAAAACCAATCCTAACATTTATTTGAAAACACAAAAAGTCCTCAAGTAGCCAAAGCTATTTTGAGTAAGAAGAAAAAGCTGGTGACATACACTTTCTGATTTCAAAATATAGCACAAAGCTACAGTATCAAAACATTATGGTATTGGCATAGAAACAGATATAGAGACCAATAGAACAGAATAAGGAGACCAGAAATAAGAATATAAAATAGGAAGAATAAAGAAATAAGAAATAATGTAGAGTCAACTGATCTTTGAATAAGAATATAAAATAGGAAGAATAAAGAAATAAGAAATAATGTAGAGTCAACTGATCTTTGACATGGAAGCCAAGAATACACAATGGGAAAAGGAAAAAGGATAGTCTCTTTATTGGGAAAACTGAATATTCACATGCAAAAGAATGAAGTTGGACCCTTGTCTTACATTGCAGCCCCCACCCCGACCAAAAACAAATTCAAAATGAATTAAAGACTTCAATGTAAAACCTGAAACTGTAAAACTCCTTGAAGAAAACATAGAGAAAAATCTTGACATTGGCCTTGGTAATGCCTTCTTGGAAGTGACACCAAAAGCACAACCAATAAAAGTAAAAATAGACCAGTGGGATTACATCAAGCAAAAAAGCTGCTGCAAAGAAAAGGAAACAATCACCCTAATGTGAAAACAATCTATGGAATGGAAAAAAATTTGCCAACTATATATTTGATAAAGGGTTAATATCCAAAATACATGAAGAACCCTTACAACTCGTTAGCAAAAACCAACCAAGCAAATAACCTAATTAAAAATGGTCAAAGGACCTGAATAGACATTTATCCTAAGAACACACAAAAAAAACAGTCTAATGGAGATGCTTACCATAAAAATCATTAGGGAAATATAAATCAAAACCACAATGAGATATCACTTCATATCACTTCATATCACTTTGAATAGCTGTTATTTTAAAGATGATAAATGGTGGCAACAGGTATAGAGAAAGGAGAACTCTTGTGTATTATTGGTTGGAATATATATTACTATAGCCGTTATGAAAACAGCATGTAACTACTTCCAAATATTAAAAATAGAACCACCATATGATCCAGTAATCCCATTTCTTGGTTCGTATTGAAAGGAATTGATAATATCCTGAAGGGTGTATTCCAACATGGTTCCATTCTCCCCATCACTTTCAGGTACACCAATCAAACATAGGTTTGGTCTTTTCACATAGTCTTGTATTTCTTGGAGGCTTTGTTCATTCCTTTTCACTCTTTTTTCTCTAATCTTGTCTTCATGCTTCATTTCATTAAGTTAATCTTCATTCTCTGACATCTTTTCTTCTGCTCATCAATTCGGTTATTGATGCTTATGTAAGCTTCACAAAGTTCTTGTTCTGTTTTTCAGCTCCATCAGGTAATTTATGTTCTTCTCTAATCTAGTTAGCATTCCTCTAACCTTTTTTCAAGGTTCTTAGCTTCCTTGCATTGGGTTAGAACATGCTCCTTTATCTTGCAAGAGTTTGTTATTATCCACCCTCTGAAGCCTACTTCTGTCAGTTCGTCAAACTCATTCTCCGTCCAGTTTTGTTCCCTTGCTGGCGAGGAGTTGTAATCCTTTGGAGGAGAAGTGCCATTCTGGTTTTTAAAATTTTCAGCCTTTTTGCATTTGTCTTTCCTCATCTTCATGGATTTGACTACCTTTGGTCTTTGATGTTGGTGACCTTTGGATGGGGTTTTTGAGTGGACGTCCTTTTTGTTGATATTGGTGCTATTCCTTTCTGTTTGTTAGTTTTTCTTCTAACAGTTCCCTCTGCTGCAAGTCTGCTGGAGTTTGCTGGAGTTCCACTCCAGGCCCCGTTTGCCTGGGTATTACCAACAGAGACTGCAGAACAGCAAACATTGCTGCCTGTTTCTTCCTCTGGAAGCTTCGTCCCAGAGAGGCACCCACCAGATAACAGCCGGAGTTCTCCTGTATAAGGGGTCTGTTGGCCCCTGCTAGGAGGTGTTCTCCCAGTCAGGAGGCACGGGGGTCAGGGACCCACATAAGGAGGCAGTCTATCCCTTAGCAGAGCTCGAGTGATGTGCTGGGGGATCAGCTGCTCTCTTCGGAGCCAGCAGGCAGGAATGTTTAAGTTTGCTGAAGCTGTGCCCACAGCCACCCCTTCCCCCAGGTGCTCTGTCCCAGGGAGATGGAAATTTGATCTATAAGCCCCTGATTGGGGCTGCTGCCTTTCTTTCAGAGATGTCCTGCCCAGAGAGAAGGAATCTAGAGAGGCAGTCTGGCTACAGCAGCTTTGCAGAGCTATGGTGGGCTCCGCCCAGTTCAAACTTCCTTGTAGGAGAACTTCTCCAACCTAGCAAGACAGGCCAACATTCAAATTCAGGAAATGCGAAGGACAACACAAAGATTCTCCTCGAGAAGAGCAATCCCAAGACACATAATCGTCAGATTCATGAAGGTTGAAATGAAGGAAAAAATGTTAAGGGCAGCCAGTAAGAAAAGTCAGGTTACCTACAAAGGGAAACCCATCAGACTAACATTGGATCTTTCTGCAGAAACCCTACAAGACAGAAGAGAATGAGGGCCAATATTCAACATTCTTAAAAAAAAAAAAGAATTTTCAATCCAGAATTTCATATCCAGCCAAACTAAGCTTCATAAGTGAAGGAGAAATAAAATCCTTTACAGACAAGCAAATGCTGAGATATTTTGTCATCACCAGGCCTGCCTTACAAGGGCTTTTAAAAGGAAGCACTAAATATGGAAAAGAAAATCTGGTACCAACCACTGCAAAAACATACCAAATTGTAAAGACCATCAACACTATGAAGAAACTGGATCAACTAATGGGCAAAATAACCAACTAACATCATAATGACAGGATCAAATTCACACATAACAGTATTAACCTTAAGTATAAACGGGCTAAATGCCCCCAGTTAAAAGACACAGACTGGCATATTGGATAAAAAGTCAAGATCCATCACTGTGCTCTATTTACAAGACCCATCTCACCTGCAAAGACACACATCAGCTCAAAATAAAGGGATGGAGGAATATTTACCAAGCAAATGGAAAGCAAAAAAAAGCAGGGGTTGCAATCCTAGTCGCTGATAAAATAGACTTTAAACCAACAAAGATCAAAAGAGATAAAGAAGGGTATTACAAGATGGTAGAGGTATCAATGCAACAAGAAGAGCTATCTATCCTAAATATATATGTACCCAATACAGGAGCACCCAGATTCATAAAGCAAGTTGTTAGAGATGTACAAACAGACTTAGACTCCCATACAGTAAAAGTGGGAGACTTTAACAGCCCACTGTCAATATTAGACAGATCAACGATACAGAAAATTAACAAGGATATTCAGGACTTGAACTCAGCTCTGGACCAAGTGGACCTAATAGACATCTACAGAACTCTCCACCCCAAATCAACAGAATATACATTGTTCTCAGCAACACATCACACTTATTCTAAAATTGACCACATAATTAAAAGTAAAACACTCCTCAGCAAATACAAAATAACAGAAATCATAACAAACAGTCTCTCAGACCACAGGGCAATCTAATTAGAACTCAGTATTCAGAAACTCATTCAAAATGGCACAACTACATGGAAACTGACCAACTTGCTCCTGAATACTACTGGGTAAATAACAAAATTAAGGCAGAAGTAAATAAGTTCTTTGAAACCAGTGAGAACAAACACACAGTGTACCAGAATCTCTGGGACACAGCTAAAGCAGTGTTTAGAGGGAAATTTATAGCACTAAATGCCCACAGGAGAAAGCAGGAAAGATCTAAAATCGACACCCTAACATCACAATTAGAAGAACTAGAGAAGCATGAGAAAATATATTCAAAAGCTAGCAAAAGGCAAGAAATAACTAAGATCAGAGCAGAACTGAAGGAGATAGAGACACAAAAACCCTTCAAAAAATCAATGAATCCAGGAGCTGCTTTCGTGAAAAGATTAACACAACTGATAGTCAGACTAATAAAGAAGAAAAGAGAGAAGAAGCAAATAAAAACAATAAGAAATGATAAAGTGGATATCACCACTGATCCCACAGAAATACAAACTACCATCAGATAATACCATAAACACCTCTATGCAAATAAACTAGAAAATCTAGAAGAAATTGATGAATTCCTGGACACACACACCCTCCCAAGACTAAGCCAGGAAGAATTCAAATCCCTGAATAGACCAATAATATAACAAGTTCTGAAGTTGAGGCAGTAATTAATAGCCTACCAACCAAAAAAAGCTCAGGACCAGACAGATTCACAGCCGAATTCCACCAGAGGTAAAAAGAGGAGCTGGTACCATTCTTTCTGAAACTATTCAGAACAATAGAAAAAGAGGGACTCCTCCCTAACTCATTTTACGAGGCCACCATCATCCTGATACCAAAACCTGGCAGAGACACAACAAAAAATAAAATTTCAGGCCAATATCCCTGATGAACATTGATGCAAAAATCCTCAATAAAATACTGGCAAACCAAATCCAGCAGCACATCAAAAAGCTTATCCACCATGATCAAGTCAGCTTCATCCCTGGGATACAAGGCTGGTTCAACATACGCAAATCAATAAATGTGATCCATCACATAAACAGAACCAATGACAAAAACCATATGATTATCTCAATAGATGCATAAAAGGCCTTTGATAAAATTCAACACGTCTCTCAATAAACTAGGTATTGATGGAATGTATCTCAAAATAATAAGAGCTATTTGTGGCAAACCCACAGCCAATATCATACTGAATGGGCAAAAGCTGGAAGCATTCCCTTTGAAACCAGCACAAGACAAGGATGCCCTCTCTCACCACTCCTATTCAACATAGTATTGGAAGTTCTGGCCAGGGCAATCAGGAAAGAGAAAGAAATAAAGGGTATTCTAATAGGAAGAGAGGAAGTCAAATTGTCCCTGTTTGCAGATGACATGATTGTATATTTAGAAAATCCCATCCTCTCAGCCCAAAATCTCCTTAAGCTGATAAGCAACTTCAGCAAAGTCTCAGGATGCAAAATCAATGTACAAAAATCACAAACATCCCTATGTACCAATAACAGACAAGCAGAGAGCCAAATCATGAGTGAACTCCTATTCACAATTGCTACAAAGAGAATAAAATACCTCGGAATACAACTTACAAGGGATGTGAAGGACCTCTTCCAGGAGAACTTCAAACCACTGCTCAAGGAAATAAGAGAGGACACAAACAAATGGAAAAACATTCCATGCTCATGGATAGGAAGAATGAATATTGTGAAAATGGCCATACTGCCCAAGGTAATTTATAGATTCAATGCTATCCCCATCAAGCTACCATTGACTTCCTTCACAGAATTAGAAAAAAACTGCTTTAAATTTCATATGGAACCAAAACAGAGCCCATATAGACAAGACAATCCTAAGCAAAAAGAACAAAGCTGGAGGCATCACACTATCTGACTTCAAACTATACTACAATGCTACAGTAACCAAAACAGCATGGTACTGGTACCAAAACAGATATATAGACCAGTGGAACAGAACAGAGGCCTCAGAAATAATGGCACACATCTACAACCATCTGATGTTCGACAAACCTGACAAAAACAAGCAATGGGGAAACCATGCCCTATTTAATAAATGGTGTTAGGAAAACTGGCTAGTCATATGCAGAAAACTGAAATTGGACCCCTTCCTTACATGTTATACAAAAATTAACCAAGATGGACTAAAGATTTCAACATAAGACCTAAAACCATAAAAACCCTAGAAGAAAACCTAGGCAATACCATTCAGGACATAGGCATTGGCAAAGACTTCATGACTAAAACACCAAAAGCAATGGCAACAAAAGCCAAAATTGACAAATGGGATCTAAATAAACTAAAGAGTTTAATTATACTGGATAAAGAAAATGTGGCACATATATACCATGGAATACAATGCAGCCATAAAAAAGGATGAGTTCATGTCCTTTGCAGGGACATGGATGAAGCTGGAAACCATCATTCTCAGCAAACTAACACAAGAACAGAAAACCACACACTGCATGTTCTCACTCATAAGTTGGAATTGAACAATGAGAACACATGGACACAGGGAGGGGAACATCACACACCGGGGCTTGTTGGGAGGTGGGGGCTAGGGGAGGGATAGCATTAGGAGAAATACCTAATGTAGATGATGGGTTGATGGATGCAGCAAACCACCGTGGCACGTGTATACCTATGTAACAAACCTGAACATTCTGTACATGTATCCCAGAACTTAAAGTATAAATAAAAGAAAAAAGAAAGGAATTGAAATCAGGATCTTGAAGAGACATTGGCACTTCCATGTTCATTGTAGCATTGTTCACAACAGCTAAGACACATATGTAAAATAAATGTCCATCAATGAAATATTATTCAGTCTTTAAAAAGAAGAAAATTCTGCCATTTGCAACAATACAGATGAGCCTCAAGGACATTATACTAAGTGAAATAAATCAGACACAAAAGGAGAAATACACAATCTCACTGATACAGGGAATCTAAAAGAGTCAAACTCATAGAAGCAGAGAGTAAAATTGTGGTTTTCAAGGACTGGAGGAGAGGGAAATGAAGAGATTTTGGTCAAAGGATACAAAGTTTTAGTTTTGCAAGGTGAGTAAATTATTTAGATCTATTGTACAGTATAGTCCCTATAGTTAACAATACTGTATTATATACTTTGAAATTTGCTAAGAAAGTAGATTTTACATTAAGCATTCTTATCACAAAATAATAATAATAAAATGGTAAAAGGAAACTTTGGAGGTGATAGATATGTTTATGGTATTGATTTTGGTGATGGTTTTATAGGTGTATACTGGTCTCTAGACTCATCAAGTTGTATGCATTACATATGTATAGATTTTTTGTATGACAATCACACTTTGATAAAGTGTTACTTTAAAAAAGAATTTGAGGTGACATAAAGTCTGTTTTACAAAATAAAAGCTGAGAAATTTGTCATTAGAAGACTGACTGATATGTAATGATATATTAATTTCTTCAGGCAGAAGGAAAACGGCACCAAATGCAAAACATGAGCTTACACATAAGAATAGAGAGCACTGGCTGGGCACAGTGGCTCACGCCTGTAATCCCAACACTTTGGGTGGCTGAGGCAGGCGGATTGCCTGAGCTCAGGAGTTCGCAACCAGCCTGGACAACACAGTGAAACTCCGTCTCTACTAAAATACAAAAAATTGGCCGGGTGTGGCGGTGTGTGACTGTAGTCCCAGCTACTCAGGAGGCTGAGGAAGGAGAACTGCTTGAACCCGGGAGGCGGAGATTGAAGTGAGCCGAGATCACCACTGCACTCCAGCCTGGGCAACAGAGTGAGACTCCATCTGAAAAAAAAAAAAAAAATAGAGGGCACTAAAAGTATTAAACATGATAAATGTAAAAGACTTTCTTATTTTGTTTTTTTAAAGGATGGTTGATTATTTGAAGTACACTATTGGGGTTTTGACATGTTTAAAAGTCTAAAATTTAACAAAAATAGCCCAAAAAGCAGGAGAGGAAAAGTATAAAGTATACTGCTTTAAGATTCATATGTTACAAATAAAGCAGTATGATATGATTTTAGGGTAGATTGCCATAAGTGAAAGATATCATAAACCCTAGTACAACACTAAAAAACAAAATGAAGCTAACAAGTCAGTAACAGACAAAATAAAATACTAAGAAGTACCAAATTAATTGAAAAAGACAGAAAAATAGGGAAAATGAACCAAGAACAAATGGGACAGTCAACAGATAACAAGGTAGTAGATTTAAACTCAAGCATACCAGTGTATACATATGGTATAAATGGTTTAAACATACTAATTAAAGGCAGGACTATTATACTGAACAAAAAGTCAAGATCCAACTGTATACAATCTTTAAGAAAATGAATTTAAATACAGGGTATACTTTGAAAATATTGTGGGTTTGGTTCCAGACCACCGCAATAAAGTTAATATCACAATAAAGTGAGTCACATAATTTTTTTGGTTTCCCAGCATATGTAAAAGTTATATTTGTACTCAAACCTGTAATCACAGTGACTTGAGGCAGGAGGATTACTTGAAGCCAAGAGTTTGAGATCAGCCTGGGCAACATAGTGAGACCCTATCTCTAAAAAGCATTTTAAAAACAGCCAGGCTTGGTAGTGTGCCTATAGACCCAGGTACTTGGGGGGCTGAGGTAGAAGGATTGCTGGAACCCAGAAGTTCAAGGTGAAGTGAGCCATGATCATGCTACTGCACTTTAGCCTTGGTAATAGAGTGAGACTCTAACTCTTTAAAAAAAAGTCATATTTACACTGTATTTTAGTCTATTATAGTATCTATAGCATGCAATTATATTAAATCTATTTTATACAATTATGTTATATTAAGTCTATATTATATATAGAGTACAATTGTATTATGTCTCAGACAATGTACATATCTTAATTTAAAATACTTCATTGGTAAAAAAAAAAAATGCTAATGATCCTCTGAGCATTCAGCCACTTGTAATCTTTTTGCTGGGAGAGAGTTGCCTAGATGTTATAGCTGGTCAAGGTGGTAGTTGCTGAAGATTAGAGTGACTGTGGCAATTTCTTAAAGTAAAACAGCAATGGGAGTTTGCTGCATTTACTGACTCTTTCTTTCATGAAAGATTTCTCTGTAGCATGTGATGCTGTTTGATAGCATTTTACCACAACAGAACTTTCAACATTTGAGTCAGTCCTCTCAAACCCTGCTGCTGCTTTATCAACTAAGTTTATACAATATTCTAAATCCTTTGTTGTCATTTCAACAATGTTCACAGCATCTTCACCAGGAGTCAATTCCATCTCAAGAAACCAATTTCTTTGCTTATCTGTAAGAAGCAACTCCTCATCTCTTCAGTCTTATCATGAAATTGGGGAAATTCAGTAACATCTTCAGGCTCCACTTTTAATTCTAGTTCTCATACAAAACCACTAAGAACTAGCAAGAGACCAGCCTGCAGACTCAAGGCAAGTATAGGAGAAGATAGATATGTTACCTTCGCCAGGATGTTACTTGAGTACCTGTCCACTTATCAGTGCTTATACTTGTGAAGTTCTTGCTTGGAAACTTCCACTGTCTTTATTAACTAGGTTATATTCTAAGAGCGAATAGGAAGGCATAGGGCAGATAAAGATGATTTGAATAATCACCAAAAGACATGAGAGACAGGCATAAGAGACTGGGAAAACAGAAAGATGAATTAGAAAGATTGCCATGCATATGAGTTTTTAGTGACACTAGTCTTTGCTATTGTACAGTCCTCTCCATAAGCACTTGGCTGCCTAGATGTTGAGGAAGGAAAGCTGACAACAAGATCCAAGGTCAGTGTTTTACCAAGCAGAGCAATGACAGGGCAGATAAAACTGTGGTCAGAGAGCAGGGATGTTAGAATCTAAAACTTTAGATATCTCTCTCTTCCAGATGTTGACAAGGTCCAGGGAAAAGTGTGAAGGAAAGCTGATGAGATGAGGTGAAGGCAAAGACCCTTGAAGATGAGGAAATTAAGGTTTGGAGTTTGCAAGAGGAACGCATCACTTACTGTGTGTAGTGTTTAGATGGCCGTGATTGCCAAAACTTGAATTTACATAGATTATATCAGCTAGGAATTATAGCACAACTACGAAGTAAGTACTTTTATTTCAATTTTCCAGTGAGGATGGAATCTTAGAAAGTTTGAGTAATTTGCATAAAGTTACACAAATGTTAACAGTAACAAAAACAAACATTTTGTAGCAATTTACTGTATGCCAGTTACTGTTCTAGGAGTTTTACATTGTAAGTGCTCATAAAATTATTGTTATTATCACCACGTTAGAGAAAGGCACAGAGAGTTTCAGTAACTTTCTAAGGCCACATGGCTAATTAGTGACAAGAGCCAGAACTTAAAGCAAGTATCAGAAATATGGTATGAATAAAAGTTGGTGTTACTTCAAAACCCATGTTTTAGCTACTCAGAAATAGCATCTATTTATTATTTTAAGGGTACATTTTATTCAAAAAACTATTAAAATCTCTTCCAAGAATACTAATAAAGATTTTAATCAGTACAAGATTAAAAGTTAGGCATAATTAAATGGATAAAATGAAACTAAAATTCAATTTATAAAAAATAAAACAACAGAACATTTGAAACTAACAGAGGAAGACGGAAGAAAAGTCAGAAATAGGAAGGAAAATGAGATAAATGTCAGAAGTCATTGGAGAGATCTCTTTGTTAATTTTTCCTACCCAGGAAATATAAACAAATTTTTCCTACTGAATTAAAGGTAAAATTTGGGTTTCTCATGAGCATGGTTGCATTTTTCTTCAGCTCACAACTGACATGCAATAAAGCTAAGTGTAGTTATTTTCATTACTATACACTGGAACTTCCAGGAAAGAGGGGATATGGCAGCCTCTTTGGTAATCAGCCATCATTCTTTTCCACAAGTCCACATATACCCACCTGTGAGAACTATCAGCTGGATACCAGCCTCTTCCATCTTCCTTTCTCCTCAATGGTTACTACCTTCTCCTTCACAACTACGTATAAAGATAAAAGTCAAAGTTAAATTTGGAAAATATACAAGAAAGTACTAACTAAGCATAAGAAAGCTGGAGTGACTTTGTTAATATCAGACAAAAGAGACTTCAGAACAAGAAATTTTACCACTGATAAAAGGGAAATTTCACAATCATCAAATAGTTTGTTAACCAGGATGGCATAGTAATCCGAAATGAGTACACACCTAATAACAGAACTGCAGAACATAGAAAACAAAAACTGATAAATCTGAGAGAGAAACAGACAAGTCCACAATTGTACCTAGTTATTTTACCATTCCTCTTAGTAACTGATAAAACAAGGAGACAGAATATTAGTCAGAATATACATGATTTAAATAGCACCATTAACCAACTTCATTTAACTGAAATAAATATAACTCTATACTCAGCAGTTGTAGAACACACATTCTTGTTACATGCACATGGAACATTTGTCAAGGTAAGTCATATGGTGGATTAGTTTAAAAGGATTGAAATCTCACAAACTTTTTCTGTTACTATAATGGAGTTAAATTAAAAATGAAAACCAGAAGGATATCTGGAAAATTCCCAAATATTTGGAAATTAACTACATAGTTCTATATAACCCATGGACTCAAAAAGAAATGAGACAAATTATAAAATATTTGAACTTAATGAAAATAAAAACAATATATTAAAGAAGGTATATAGCTGAAGCAGTATACAAAGTTAAATCTACAGATTTGAATTCCTATATAGAAAAAAAAGAGAAATATAAAATCAGTTATTCCAGTTTCAGTCTAAAGAAGGAAGAAAAGAAAGAGCAAATTAAAACCGAAGTAAGTAGAAAGAGGAAAACAATAAAGATAAGAATGCAAATAAGATAAAATAGAAAACAGCAAATAATAGAGAAAATCAGTAAAACCAAAAGCTGATTCTTTGAAAATCATCAATAAAATTACTAAACCTCTAGCTAAAATGATCAGGAAAAAAAGAAAGACATAATTTTTCAATATCAAGAGAGAAAGGGAGGATTACTAAAGATCATATAAACATTAAAGTGACAACAATAGAATATTGGAAATAAGTTCAACAACCAAGATGAAGTAGGTTTCTTAAAAGACACATTTTTCCAAAGTTTACTCAAGAAGAAATAGATAACCCTAATAGTTGTTTTTTGATTTTTTAATTTTTTTTTGGTTTGTATAACAATTTTTTTTTTCTTTTTTTCAGATTTTTTTTTTATTATTTTACTTTAAGTTCTGGAATACATGTTCAGAACATGCAGGTTTGTTACATAGGTATACGTGTGCCATCGTGTTTTGCTTCACCCATCAACCCATCATCTAGGTTTTAAGCCCCGCATGCATTAGGTATTTTTCCTAATGCTATCCCTCTCCTTTCCTCCCAACCCCCAACAGACCCCAGTGTGTGATTTTCCCCTCCCTATGTCCACGTGTTCTCACTGTTAAACTTCCACTTATGAGTGAGAACATATGGTATTTGGTTTTTTGTTCCTGTGTTAATTTACTAAGAATGCTTAATCCATGCCCCTGCAAAGGACATAAACTCACTCTTTTTTTATGGCTGCATAGTATTCCATGGTGTACATGTGCCACATTTTCTTTATCCAGTCTATCATTGATGGGCATTTGGGTTGGTTCCAAGTCTTTGCTATTGTGAATAGTGCCACAATAAACATATGTGTGCATGTGTCTTTATAGTAAAATGATTTATAATCCTTTCAGTATATACCCAGTAATGGGATCGCTGGGTCAAATGGTATTTCTGGTTCTAGATCCTTGAGGACTCGCCATCTGGTCTTCCACGATAGTTGAACTAATTTACACTTCCACCAACAGTGTAAAAGCATTCCTATTTGTCCACATCCTCTCCAGCATCTGTTGTTTCCAGACTTTTTAATGATTGCCATTCTAACTGGTGTGAGGTGGTATCTCATTGTGGTTTTGATTTGCATTTCTCTAATGTCCAGTGGTGATGAGCTTTTTTTCATGTTTGTTGGCCACATAAATGTCTTCTTTTGAGAAGTGTCTCTTCATATCCTTTGCCCACTTTTTGATGGGGTTGTTTGATTTTTCTTGTAACTTTGTTTAAGTTCCTTGCAGATTCTGGATATTAGCCCTTTGTCGATAGATAGATGGCAAAAATTGTCTCCCATTCTGTAGGTTGCCTGTTCACTCTGATGATAGTTTCTTTCACTTTGCAGAAGCTCTTTAGTTTAATTCGATCCCATTTGTCTATTTTAGCTCTTGTTGCCATTGCTTTTGGTGTTCTAGTCATGAAGTCCTTGCCCATGCCTATGTCCTGAATGGTATTGCCTAGGTTTTCTTCTAGGGTTTTTATGGTTTTAGGTCTTAAGTTTAAGTCTTTAATTCATCTTGAGTTAATTTTTGTATAAGGTGTAAGGAAGGGGTCCAGTTTCTGTTTTCTGCATATGATTAGCCAGTTTTCCCATCACCATTTATTAAATAGGGAATCCTTTCCCCATTGCTTGTTTGTGTCAGGTTTGTGGAAGATCAAATGGTTATAGATGTGTGGTGTTATTTCTGAGGCCTGTGTTCTGTTCCACTGGTCTATATATCTGTTTTGGTACAAGTACCATGCTGTATTTGTTACTGTAGACTTCTAGTGTAGTTTGAAGTCAGGTAGCGTGATGCCTCCAGCTTTGTTCTATTTGCTAGGATTGTCTTGGCTATACAGGTTCCTTTTTGGTACCATATAAAATTTTAAGTAGTATTTTCTAATTCTGTGAAGGAAGTCAATGGTAGCTTGAGGGAAATAGCATTGAATCTATAAATTACTTTGGGCAGGTTGACCATTTTCATGATACTGATTCTTCCTATCCATGAGCATGAAATGTTTTTCCATTTGTTTGTGTCCTCTCTTATTTCCTTGAGCAGTGGTTTTAGTTCTCCTGGAAAAGGTCCTTCACATCCCTTGTAAGTTGTAATCCTAGGTATTTTATTCTCTTTGTAGCAATTGTGAATGTGAGTTCACTCATGATTTGGTTCTCTGCTTGTCTATTATTGGTGTATAGGAATGCCTGTAATTTTTGCACATTGATTTTTTATCCTGAGACTTTGCTGAAGTTGCTTATCAGCTTAAGGAGTTTTTGAGCTAAGACGATGGAGTTTTCTAAATATAGAATCATGTCATCTGCAAACAGAGGCAATTTGACTTCTTCTCTTCCTATTTGAAAACCTTTTATTTCTTTCTCTTTCCTGATTGCCCTGGCCAGAACTTCCAATACTATGTTTAATAGGACTGGTAAGAGAGGGCATCCCTGTCATGTGCCAGTTTTCAAAGGGAATGCTTCCAGCTTCTGTCCATTCAGTATTATATAGCCTATGGGTTTGTCATAAATAGCTCTTATTATTCTGAGATATGTCCCATCAATACCTAGTTTATTGAAAGTTTTTAGCATGAAGGGCTGTTGAATTTTATTGAAGACATTTTCTGCATCTATTGAGATAACCATGTGGTTTTGTCATTGGTTCTGTTTATGTGATGGATTACATATATTGATTCGTGTATGTTGAACCAGCCTTGCATCCCAGGGGTGAAGCCAAATTGATCGTGGTGGATAAGCTTTTTGATGTGCGGCTGGATTCATTTTGCCAGTATTTTACTGAGGATTTTTGCATTGGTGTTCATCAGGGATATTGGCCTGAAATTTTCTTTTTTTTTTTTTTGTTGTGCCTCTGCCAGGTTTTGGTATCAGGATGATGCTGGCCTCACAAAATGTGTCAGGGAGGATTCCCTCTTTTTCTATTTTTTGAATAGTTTCAGAAGGAATGGTACCAGCTCCTCTTTTTACCTCTGGTAGAATTCAGCTGTGAATCCATCTGTCCCTGGGCTTTTATTTGCTTGGTAGGCTATTAATCACTGCCTCAATTTCAGAAATTGTCATTGGTTTATTCAGGGATTCAACTTCTTCCTGGTTTAGTCTTGGGAGAGTGTATGTTTCCAGGAATTTATCCATTTCTTTTAGATTTTCTAGTTTATTTGTGTAGAGGTGTTTACAGTATTCTCTGATGGTTGTTTTTATTTCTGTGGAATCAGTGGTGATATCCCCTTTATCATTTTTTATTGTGCCTATTTGATTCTTCTCACTTTCTTCTTTATTAGTCTGGCTAGCAGTCTATGTATTTTGTTAATCTTTTCAAAAAACCACCTCCTGGATTCATTGATTTTTTGAAGGGATTTTTGTGTCTTCATTTCCTTCAGTTCTGCTCTGATCTTAGTTATTTCTGGTCTTCTGCTAGCTTTTGAATTTGTTTTATCTTGCTTCTCTAGTTTTTTTTAATTGTGATGTCCAGGTGTCGATTTCAGATCTTTCCTGCTTTCTCTTGTGGACATGTACTGCTATAAATTTCCCTCTTAACACTTCTTTAGCTGTGTCCCAGAGATTCTGGTACATTGTGTTTTTGTTCTTATTGGTTTCAAAGAAGTTATTTATCTCTGCCTTAATTTTGTTATTTACCCAGTAGTCATTCAGGAGCAGATTGTTCACTTTCCATGTAGTTGTGTGGTTTTGAGTGAGTTTCTTAATCCTGAATTCTAATTTGATTGCACTGTGGTCTGAGAGACTGTTTGTTATGATTTCCACTCTTTTGCATTTGCTTGAGGAGTGTTTTACTTCCAATTATGTGTTTGATTTTTAGAATAAGTGCATGCAGTTCTGAGAAGAATGTATATTTTGTTGATTTGTGGCGGAGAGTTCTGTAGATGTCTGTTAGGTCCACTTTGTCCACAGCTGAGTTCAAGTACTGAATATCTTTGTAAATTTTCTGTCTGGTTAATCCACTGTTATTTTGTGGGAGTCTAAGCCTCTTTGTGGGTCTCTAAGAACTTGTTTTATGAATCTGGTTGTTCCTGTATTGGGTGCATATATATTTAGGATAGTTAGCTCTTCTTGTTGCATTGATCCCTTTACCATTATGTAATGTTCTTCTTGTCTTTTTTTATCTTTGTTAGTTTACAGTCTATTTTATCAGAAACTAGGATTGCAACCCTTCCTCTTTTTTGCTTTCCGTTTGCTTGGTAAATATTCCTCCATCCCTTTATTTTGAGCCTATATGTGTCTTTGTACATGAGATGGGTCTCCTGAATACAGCACACTGATGGGTTTTGTCTCTTTGTCCAATTTGCCAGCCTGTGTTTTTTAATTGGGGCATTTAGCCATTTTACATTTAAGGTTAATATTGTTACGTGTGAATTTGATCCTGTCATTATGATGCTAGCTGGTTATTTTGCCCATTAGTTGATGCAGCTTCTTTATAGTGTTGATGATCTTTACAATTTGGTATGTTTTTGCAGTGGCTGGTGCTGGTTTTTCCTTTCCATATTTAGTGCTGCCTTCAGGAACTCTTGTAAGTCAGGCCTGGTGGTGACAAAATTCCTCAGCATTTGCTTATCAGGAAAGGATTTTATTTCTCCTTCACTTATGAAGCTTAGTTTGGCTGGATATGAAATTCTGGGTTGAAAATTCTTTTCTTTAAGAATGTTGAATATTGGCCCCCACTCTCTTCTGTCTTGTAGGGTTTCTGCAGTGAGATCCACTGTTAGGCTAATGGGCTTCCCTTTGTAGGTAACCTGACCTTTCTCACTGGCTGTCCTTAACATTTCTTCCTTTGTTTCAACCTTGGAGAATCTGACAATTGTGTGTGTTGGGGTTTTACTTCTCAAGGAGTATCTTAGTGATGTTCTGTGTATTTCTTGAATTCGAATGTTGGCCTGTCTTGCTAGGTTGGGGAAGTTCCCCTGGATAATATCCTGAAGTGTGTTTTCCATCTTGGTTCCATTCTCCCTGTCACTTTCAGGTACACCAATTATATGTTTGGTCTTTTCACATATTCCCATATTTCTTGGAGGCTCTGTTCATTCCTTTTCATTCTTTTTTCTCTGATATTGTCTTCATGCCTTATTTCACTAAGTTGATCTTCAGTCTCTGATATCTTTTCTTCCACTTGATCAATTTAGTTAATAATATTTGTGTATGCTTCATGAAGTTCTCGTGCTGTGTTTTTCAGCTCCATCAGGTCATTTATGTTCTTCTCCAAACTGATTATTCTAGTTAGCAGTTCCTGTACCTTTTATCAAGGTTCTTACCTTCCTTGCATTGAGTTGGAACATGCTCCTTTAGCTCAGAGGAGTTTGTTATTACCCACCTCCTGAAGCCTACTTCCGTCAATTTGTCAAACTTATTCTCTGTCCAGTTTTGTGCCCTTGATGTAGAGGAGTTGTGGCCATTTGGAGGAGAAGTGGCATTCCAGTTTTTGGAATTTCTAACATTTTTGTGCTGGTTTTTCCTTATCTTCATGGATTTATCTACCTTTGATCTTTGAGGCTGATGACCTTTGGATGGAGTTTTTGTGTGTGGGTTCTTTTTGTTGATGTTGATGTTGTTGCTATCTGTTTGTTAGTTTTTCTTCTAACAGTCAGGCCCCTCTTCGGCAGATCTGCTGCAGTTTTCTGGAGGTTCACTCCAGACCCTATTTGCCTGGGTATCACCAGCGGAAGCTGCAGAACATCAATGGTTGCTGCCTGCTCCTTCCTCTGGAAGCTTCATCCCAGAGGGGCACCAGCCTGATGCTACCCAGAGCTCTCCTGTATGAGGTGTCTGTTGACCCCTGCTAGGAATTGTGTCCCAGTCAGGAGGCACAGGGGTCAGGGACCAACTTGAGGAGGCAGTCTGTCCCTTAGCAGAACTTGAGAATCCTCCTGTCAGGATCCATTACCCTCTTCAGAGTTGGTAAGCATCAATGTTTAAGTCTGCTGAACCTGCGCCCACAGCTGCCCCTTCCCCCAGGTGCTCTGTCCCAGGGAGATGGGAAGGGCTGCTGCCTCTGTTTCAGAGATGCCCTGCCCAGTGAGGAGGAATCTAGAGAGGCAGTCTGGCCACAGCTGCTTTGCCGAGCTGTGGTGAGTACTGCCCAGTCCAAACTTCCTAGCCTCCTTAGCTCTGTCAGGGGTAACTCCCTACTCAAATCTCAGTAGTGGAGGGCACCCCTCCCACCACCAAGCTCCATCCCATTCAGACTGCTGTGCTGTCAGTGAGAATTTCACGTCAGTGGTTCTTAGCTTGCTGGCCCTGTGGGAGTGGGACCCGCTGAGTGAGACCACTTGGCTCCCTGGCTTCAGCCCCCTTTCCAGGGGAGTGAATAATTCTGTTTCCCTGAGGTTCCAGGCACCACTGGGGTACAAAATAAAATCCTGCAGCTAGCTCGGTGTCTGCCCAAACAGCTGCCCAGTTTTTGCTTGAAACCCAGGGCCCTGGTGGTGTAGGCACACGAGGGAATCTCCTGGTCTGCAGATTGAAAAAACCATGGGAAAAGTGTAGTATCTGGGCCAGATAGCACAGTCCGTCATGGCATCCCTTGGCTGGGGGAGGGTGGTCCCCCACTCCTTGTACTTCCCAGGTGAGGGACACCCCGCCCTGCTTCTGCTCGCCCTTCGTGGGCTGCACCCACTGCCTAACCAGTCCCAATGAGATGAAATGGGTACCTCAATTGGAAATGCAGAAATCAACCACCTTCTGTGTTGGTCTCTCTGGGAGCTGCAGACCGGAGCTGTTCCTATTCAGTCATCTTGCCCATCCTCTAATAGTTCTTTATTAGAGAATCTGAGTTTCTACCTTAAAACTTTCCATAAAAACAAAATAAGCTCCAAGCCTATATTGCTTAATTGTTGAATTCCATCAAACATTTGGAGAAAAAATAATGCCAATCCTACACAAACTCATTAAGAAAACAGAAAAGGAAGGAACACTTTCTAACCAATATAACAAGTCATCATTAACTGAAACCAAAATCAGTTACAGACATTCCAGGAAAAGATAACGGCACACAAATATCTCCCATGAAAATAATTCCCCAAAAACCATGAATAGAATAGTAACTAAAATAATACAGAAAATATATAAAAATAATTGCATATCATGACCAAATGGGTTTTATCCTAGGAACACAAGGTTAGTTAACATCAGAAAAACAATCAATATAGTTCATATTGAAATAATAAAATAGGCCAGGCGCGATGGCTCACGCCTGTAATCCCAGCACTTTGGGAGGCCAAGGCGGGCAGATCACGAGGTCACGAGATCGAGACCATCCTGGCTAACATTGGTGAAACCCCGTCTCTACTAAAAAAAATACAAAAAATTAGCCAGGTGTGGTGGTGGGCACCTGTAGTCCCAGCTACTTGGGAGGCTGAGGCAGGAGAATGGCGTGAGCCCGGGAGGCGGAGCTTGCAGTGAGCGGAGATCATGCCACTGCACTCCAGCCTGGGTGACAGAGCGAGACTCCATCTCAAAAAAAAAAAAAAAAAAAAGAAATAATAAAATAGATCATATGATCATCTCAATAAATGGAAAAAAAGCATTTGACAAAATTCAACACCAATTCATGATTTTAAAAAACTCTCAGAAAACTAGGAATAAAAAAAGAATCCTCAACTTGATAAGGAACACCTACAAAGCACATATCAATAACTTTATCCTTAACAGTGAAAGACTGAAGCTTGTTGCCTTAACAGGAGCAAGACAAGAGAGTCCTCTTCCTTTTAATGCTGTCCTGCAGGTTCTACCCAATACAAGGAAAAGAAATAAAAGACATACAGATTATAAGTGAAAACTGCTTTTATTTACAGACATATTTTTTTTAGGTAGGAAGTTCTAAAGTGTCAACAAAATAACATACCAGAGCTAGTAAACACTTTCAATAAGTTGCAGAATATACTAGGCCAATACGCAAAATTCAATTATTTATATAAGTTGCAATGAACAATTAAAAACTAAAACATGAAAAACAATACCATTAATAACAGCACGCAAAAACCTGAAGTACTTAGGAATAAATTTAACAAAGTACATGCAAGAACTGTACACTAATACCTGTTTAGATAAATAAGACACTTAATAATACACTTTTAAATTCATTTTTTGTTAAGAATACTAAATACTATTTATTTGACAATTATCTCCAAATTGATCTATAGTTATTTTGTTCAGTATGGTATCCATGAGCCACATGAGGCTACTAAACACTTGATATGTGGCTAGTCTGAATCTTAATTCAGACTAAGGTGACTAAGGTGTGCTGTAAGTGTAAAAACACACCAGATTTCAATGACTTAGTACAAAAAAAGAATAAAATATCATATCAATGTTTTTATATTGATTACAGGTTGATGTTTTCATATATTGGGGTAAATAAAATAATTATTAACATTAATTTCATGGTTTTTTTTCTTTTTAATGTGTCTACCAGAAATATTTAAATTACATGTGCTTACATATTTTGACATGCATTACGTTCCCATTAGTCATCATTTATCTATAAGTTTAATGCAATTCCAATCAAAACTGCCACAGGGCTTTGCTAAATCTTGACAAACTATAAAATTTATGTGAAAATGGTAAGAACCAAAAATAGCCAAAAGAATTTTTAAAAAGAACAATGTTGAAGGACTTATACTCCCTTATTTAAAGATTTATTATAATGCTACAGTAATCAAGACAGTGTGGTATATGGCCAAGAGATCAATGGAACAGAATGGAGAATCCAGAAATTGACCTACACACGTATCCTCGATTTTTAACAAGATATGATAGTAATTCAATAAAGAAAAGATACACTTTTCAATAAATAGTGTTATAACAACTAGATAGCCACATGGAGAACAAATGAACCATTACCTTTGTCTCATGCCATACGGAAACGTTAATTTGAAAGAGTTCAGAGAACTGTTAAACAAAGTGGAAGAGAAGCCATTGTTTAGGGCTGAGGCTGTGCTCTAGGCCCCAAAAGACCAGACAGAACCAGAATGGAATCGCTCCTGTTAGGTGCCACATAATGAAACTGAACTTCAAAATGAGCCAGTATTCAAAAAACCAGGAGATTCACAGCAACCAATCAGAAAGGGCCTGGTTTACCTAACTAAGGGATCTCTGTTTTAATCCTATAAGGAAAGCAATTTCGAAATAACCAATCTGCTTTTTGTTCCTTATTTCTGCATTCAGCTCCTTATTCTCTACTTTCTTCAGGAAAGCCTAATTCATCAATCACTGATGGAGGTCCCTTTTCCTCCATCTTGTTCTTAACTTTCCCATGAAAATATTTTCTCTCACTTTGAGATTTTAGTTCATCTCCCAATATAGCAACAATATTAAAATAGTCAAGTTTTGGAGATCCAAAAAATTAGGAAACAATTTGAACACAATGGAATAAACCTCAGAAGTTTATGCTCATTAACCATTGTAGAATAATTTTGCTATAAAGAAGAAAGAAAAAAATTTCCTTCAGAGTTCCAAATTATTGATGGGTATCTATGATGGAATAGTTGCTTTTTTTGTTTGTTTTGTTTTTGTTTGTTTGTTTGAGATGGAGTCTCTCTCTGTTGCCTAATCTGGAGTGCACCGGCGCGATATCAGCTCATTGAAACATCTGCCTCCCAGGTTCAAGTGATTCTCCTGCCTCAACCTCCCAAGTAGCTGGGATTACAGGTGCCGGCCACCACACCTAATTTTTGTATTTTTAGTAGAGACAGGGTTTTGCCATGTTGCCCAGGCTGGTCTTGAACTCCTAATCTCAGGTGATCTGCCCATCTCGGCCTCCCAAAGTGCTGGGATTACACGCGTGAGCCACGGCATCCAGTCTGAAAAGTTGCTTTTATAAGATAGTCTGATAAATAATTTCCTGCCTGCCAAGTGCTGTAGCCTACATACTAGATGGAAGATCTTTATGAAAAAAATGAAAAGTATATCTCTAAGACAAATTATTATAGTGATTGTCTTTTTTTCCACAAGAGAAAATAAAGTTGTAGAACCTCAAGTCATAAATACATGAATCACAGCTTGTGAGTTTTGTAACATTTTATCAACTGTAAAAGAAGTCTGGTGAAGGTAAAAACGTGCATTTTTGGTTACTCTTTTATGCTATCCTCAAACTATTATTTGTCAGTAGCCAAACAAAACTATTCATGCTAACTGGAGGTGAGAAAGTTCAACTTGTTTACCAAGAGAGAAATACTTTGTTGCTTATGTTTTCCACCTTGAAGCAAACTGATACGGCTTAAAAGAGGAAACTCACTCATGCTAGGAATATGATAGAAGGAATTATCCTTAGGATTAACCTTCCTTCTTGACATAGGCATAAAGAATAAAATTTTCAAAATGCATTCTTTTGCTTTGCATGCTAGCAGTTCACATTTTAATACATTTAGCAAATAAAGAATAGTCCAAAATCTTCAAACTGTGCTAATAGATAAATACAAAAACAAAATCAAAAACATGTGTGTTCTTGTCATTTGTTTTTGCTTATAGGTCTGCAAGCTTCAAAAGTCCAATTTGAACTGTAGCCATAGTTTTGCCCCAAATCACAATGTGTCTTTGGGGGAGTTCCTTCATTTCTCTGTGTCTTACATGTATGTCTGATAAGATAAAGGAATTGAAGTAGACAATAGCTAAAGGTCTTCTTAAAAACATTATAGGTAAGGATGACTTCATGTCCTTTGCAGGGACATGGATGAAGCTGGAAACCATTATTCTTAGCAAACTAACACAGGAACGGAAAACCAAACACTGCATGTTCTCACTCATAAGTGGGAGTTGAACAATGAAAACACATGGACACAGGGAGAGGAACATCACACACTGGGGCCTGTTGGGGGAGGGGATGGGTAGGGGAGGAATAGCATCAGGAGAAACACCTAATGTAGATGATGGGTTGATGGGTGCAGCAAACCACCATGGCACGTGTACACCTATGTAACAAACCTGCACATTCTGCACATGTATCCCAGAACTTAAAGTATAATTTAAATAATTAAAAAATAAATAAAAATTTAAAAGAATATAAATAGAAAATAAAGTGATTCAAATAAAAAAATATAGATAATAAAGGTCAAATGCTTTCTAGTTCCATATTCAGCTTGTGAATGTTCTGTACATTATTAATTATTCCAATTTAGGATAAATCTCATTGTGTTCACCATAACTAAATACCGTTTTATTATTTTTTTTCTTCTACCATCTACCTATTGATATAACATTGACAGGTTTTCGTCTCTGCAGTGGAAACCACTCTTCCCTCTCCCTGTTCTTTGATGAGAATGCCAATACTCTGTTTTACTCAAAAGAAAATAGTAGAAACCTTCCTGAGTGGGTTATATTCCATTCATGAGGCTGTTCACAAACTTCTCTCTATTTCTAATGTTTTAGTTCTGATTCCTGTTCAAGATAGCCGACTAGCAACATAAGATACCCGCCCTCTCCAGGAAGCAAAATCAAAATTATGAACACATAATCAACTTCAAATAGAACATCTAGGACTAATACTGGAGTCCAACAGAGAAATCATGGGAAGCACCTGAAGCGAGAAGAAGAAGGAAATGAGTGGCCAGCTTGGCTGAGATTGGCTGGGAGCTGCAGTGAACTTGATATTGTGAGGAAAGGGTAAATAAGAGAACTTCAGAGATTCACATCCCCACCACAGACTGCTACAATCCAAACCACAGGAGGGCTCCTCTACCCCCATGAACCCTGACGCTAGCACAGAAGCATTCACTTTGAAAACCGACACAAGACAAAGATATCCTCTCTCACCACTCCTATTCAACATAGTATTGTAAATTCTGGCCAGGACAATCAAGAAAGAGAAGGAAATAAAAGGGTATTCAAATAGAAAAAGAGGAAGTCAAATTGTCTCTGTTTGCAGATGACATGATTGTATATTTAGAAAACCCCATCCTCTCAGCCCAAAATTTCCTTAAGCTGATAAGCAACTTCAGCATAGTCTCAGGATACAAAATCAATGTGCAAAAATCACAAGCATTCCTATAGATCAATAACAGACAAACAGAGAGCCAAATTATGAGTGAACTCCCATTCACAGTTCCTACAAAGAGAATAAAATACTTAGGAATCCAACTTACAAGGGATGTGAAGGACCTCTTCACGGAGAACTATAAACCACTGCTCAAGGAAATAAGAGAGGACACAAACAAATGGAAAAACATTTCATGCTCATGGATAGGAAGAATAAATATCATGAAAATGACCACACTCTTCAAAGTAATTTATAGATTCAATGCTATCCCCATCAAGCTACCATTGACTTTCTTCACAGAATTGGAAAAAATACTTTAAATTTCATATGGAACCAAAAAAGAGCCCACATAGGCAAGAAAATCCTAAGCAAAAAGGACAAAGCTGGATGTATCACGCTACCTGACTTCAAACTATACTACAAGGCTACAGTAACCAAAACAGCATGGTACTGGTACCAAAACAAATATATAGACCAATGGAACAGAACAGAGGCCTCAGAAATAATGCCACACATCTACAACCATCTTCGACAAGCCTGACAAAAACAAACAATGGGGAAAGGATTCCCTATTTAATAAATGGTGTTGGGAAAACTGGCTAGCCATATGCAGAAAACTGAAAATGGACCCCCCCTTCCTTACACCTTATACAAAAATTAACTCAAGATGGATTAAACACTTAAACATAAGACCTAAAACCATAAAAACCCTAGAAGAAAACCTAGGCAATACCATTCAGGACATGGGCATGGGTAAAGACTTCATGACTAAAAAATCAAAAGCAATGGCAACAAAAGCCAAAATTGTCAAATGGGATTTAATTAAACTAACGAGCTTCGGCAAAGTGAAAGAAACTATCATCAGAGTGAACACGCAACCTACAGAATGGGAGACAATTTTTGCAATGTATCCATCTGACAAAGGGCTAAAATATCCAGAATCTCCAAAGAACTTAAACAATTTTACAAGAAACAAACAAACAATATCATCAAAATGTGGGCAAAGGATATGAAGAGACACTTCTCAAAAGACATTTATGTGGCCAAAAAACATGAAAAAAATCTCATCATCACTGGTCATTAGAGAAATGCAAATCAAAACCATAATGAGATACCATCTCACGCCAGTTAGAATGGCAGTCGTTAAAAAGTCTGGAAACAACAGATGCTGGAGAGGATGTGGAGAAATAGGAACACTTTTACACTGTTGGTGGGAGTGTAAATTAGTTCAATCATTGTGGAAGACAGTGTGGTGATTCCTCAAGGATCTAAAACCAGAAATACCATTTGACCCGCAATCCCATCACTAGGTATATACCCAAAGGATTATAAATCATGCTACTATAAAGACACATGCACACATATGTTTATTGCGGCACTATTCACAATACAAAAGACTTGGAACCAACCCAAATCCCCATCAATGATAGGCTGGATAAAGAAAATGTGGCACATATACACCATGGAATACTATGCAGTCATAAAAAAGGATGAACTCATGTCCTTTGCAGGGACATGGATGAAGCTGGAAACCATCATTCTCAGCAAACTAACACAAAAAGAGAAAACCAAACACTGCATGTTCTCACTCATAAGTGGGAGTAGAACAATGAGAACACATGGACACAGGGAGGGGAAAATTACACACTAGGGCCTGTCAGAGGGTGCGGACTCAGGGAAGGGAGAGCATTAGGAGAAATACCTAATGTAGATGATGGGCTGATGGGTGCAGCAAACCACCATGGCACGTGTTTAACTATGTAACAAACTGGACGTTCTGCACATGCACCCCAGAGCTTAAAGTATTAAAAAAAAAGAAAATCTCAATCCAAAAAAAAGGAAATATTTCACATAAGAATCTAATGATGCATCACAAGGAACTCGAAAAGCAAGAACAAACCAAACCCCAAATTAGCAGAGAAAAAAATAAAGATCAGAACAGACCTAAATGAAATAGAGACCAAAAAAAAATACAAACAATTAATGAAATGAAAGGTTGTTTCTTCAAAAAGATAAAGAAAATCAATAAATCACTAACTAGACTAGCCAAAATAAAAAGAATACCCAAATAAAATCAGAAATAAAAATGAGACATTGCAACTGATACCACAGAAATATTAAAGATTATCAGAGACTTATGAATAACTATAAACTAACAAACTGGAAAACCTAGAGAAAATGGATAAATTTCTGGAAATTTACAACCTATCAAGATTGAATCAGGGAAAAAGTAGAAAACCCGAACAGACCAATAATGAGTAGCAAGATTGAATCAGTAATAAAAAGTCTCCCAACAAAGGGAACACCAGGACTGGATGGATTTACCACTACATTTTACCAAGTGTCTCAAGAACTCGTACCAATTTTCCTGAAACTATTCCAAAAATGTGAAGAGGAGAGAATTTCTCTAACTCATTCAACAAGATCAGCATTGCCCTTAATACCAAATACAGATGAAAACACAACAACAAAAAAATAAAACTACAGGCCAAATTTCCTGAGAATCATAGGTAAAAAAAAAAAAATAATAACAGCAAACAGAATCCAACAACACATCAAAAAGATAATACACCATGATCAAGCGGGATTTATCCTAGGGGTGCAAGGATGATTCAACATACGCAAATCAATAAATGTGATATGTCACATCAACAGAATGAAGGGCAAAATTTATATACTCATATCAATAGAAACAAGCATTTGACAAAATTCAACATACCTTCATAATAAAAACACTCAACATACTAGGCATAGAAGGACCATTGCTCAAAATAATAAAGGCCATATATGACAAACCCACAGCTAACATCATACTGAATGGGGAAAGAACTAGAACAAGAATAGAATGCCTACTTTCACTTTTTCTATTTAACATAATACTAGAAATCCTGACCAGAGCAATCAGGCAAGAAAAAAAGAAAAGGCACACAAATTGGAAAAAAAAAAAAAAAAAAGGAAGTCAAATTGTTCCTCTTTGCAGATGACATAATCTTATATTTAGAAAAATTTTTAAACTCCACCAAAAAACTCTTAGAGCTGATCAACAAATTCAATAAAGTTGCAGGGTACAAAATCAACATCCAAAAACCATTTGTATATCTATAAACCAAAAATGAAATTGCCAAAAAATACATCAAGAAGGTAATCCAATTTAGAATAGCTACCAAAAAATAAAATAACTATGAATAAATTTAAGGAGGCAAAGGATCTGTACAAGGAAAACTAAAACACTGGTGACAGAAATTTAAGAAGATACAAAAATGAAAAGACTTCTCAGGCTCATGGATTGGAAGATTTTATATCCTTGAAATGGCAATGCTGCACAAAGAAATCTACAGATTAAATGCAATTCCTATCAAAATACCAATGTCATTTTTTACTGAAATAGAAGAAACAATCTTAAAATGTGTATGGAACCAAAAAAGAGGCTGAATAGTCAAAATGACCGTGAACAAAAAGAACAAGGCTAAAGGCATGACACTATCTGACTTCAAAACATGTTAAAAGGCCATGGTAACAAAAACAGCACAATATTGGTATAAAAACAGACACATAGACCAATGGAACAGAATACAGAACCCAGAAATAAATCCACGTATTTACAGTCATCTGATCATTGACAAAGTTGCCAAGAGCATACACTGGGAAAAGGACACCCTATTCAATAAATGGTGCTGGTAGAAGTGGGTAACCATGTGCAGAAGAATGAAACTGGATCCCTATCTCTCATTGTATACAAAAATTAACTCAAGATGAATTAAAAACTTCTTACACATAAGACTCCAAACTATAAAATTACCAGGAAAAAACATACGGAAAATTGTTCAGGACATTGGCCTAAGCAAAGATTTTATGGCTAAGGCCTCAAAAACATGGGCAATAAAAACAAAAATAAACATACGGGACTATATTAAACTCAAAAGCTTCTGCACAGCAAAAGAAAAAATCACCAGAGTGAAGAAACAACCTCTTAAATGGAAGAAAATTTTTGCAAATTACTCATCTGACAGGGAACTAATATTCAGGATATAAAAGGAACTCAAACAACTCAAAAGTAAAAAATGAACAAATAATTCCATGTAAACATGGGCAAAGGACATGAATAGATATTTTTCAAGAGAAGATATACAAATGGCCAATAGGTGTATGAAAAAATTCTCAACATCATTAATCATCAGGGAAATGCAAATCAAAAACCACAATGAGATATTATCTCACCCCAGTTTGAATGGTTATTATTAAAAAGAAAAAAAAAACAGATCTGGCAAGGATGCAGAGAAAAAGGAGCTCTTATCCACTGTTGGTAGGAATGTAAATTAGTACAACCACTATAAAAAAAATTGTATAGAGATTTCTCAAAAATTGAAAATAGTACTACCATACAATCCCACTACTGGGTAGCAGCCTCACTACTGGGTATCTATCCAAATGAAAAGAAATCAGTAATCAAAGGGATAGCTTCATTTGCATGTTTATCATAGCACCATTCACAATAGCAAAGATATAGTGAAAAGTAATGTGATATATACACACAGTGGAATACTATTTGGCCGTAAAAAAGACTGAAATCCTGTCCTGTGCAGCAAAATGAGTGGAAATGGAGGTCATTATATTTAGTGAAATATGCCAGGCACAGAAAGACAAATACCACATGTTCTCACTCATATGTGGGAGCTAAAAACCTTGATCTAATGGGCACAGAGAATAAAGCAATAGATACCAGAGACTGTGAAGTGGGTGGGTGTGGGGGTGATAAAGAGATTGATGATGGGTACAAACATACAGTTAGATAGAAAAAATAAGTTCTTATGTTTGAAAGCAGACTAGGGTGACTATACTTAGCATCCATATTATATATATTTTAGTAAGTAGAAGAGAGGACTTGAAATGATACCAACACATAAAAATGATAAAAACTCCTTGTCAAAGATCAGTTGGCTGTAAGTACTTAGGTTTATTTCTGGGTTCTCTGTTCTGTTCCATTGGTCCATGTGCCTATTTTTATACCAGTACCATGCTGTTTTGGTGACTATGGCCTTATAGTATAGTTTGAAATCAGGTAACGTCATGCCTCCAGATTTGTTCTTTCTGCTTAGTCTTGCTCTGGTCATGCAGGCTCATTTTTGGGTGATACGAATTTTAGGGTTGTTTTTTTCTAGTTCTGTGAAGAATGTGGTGATATTTTGATGGAATTGCATTGAATTTGTAGACTGCTTTTGGCAGTATGGTCATTTTCACAATATTGATTCTACCCACCCATGAGCATGGGATGTGTTTCCATTTGTTTGTGTCATCTCTGATTTCTTTCAGCAGTGTTTTGTAGTTTTCCTTGTAGAGGACTTTCACCTCCTTGGTTAGGTATATTCCTAAGTATTTTATTTTTTTTGCAGCTATTGTAAAAGGGGTTGAGATATTGATTTGATTCTCAGCTTGGTCGCTGTTGGTGTATAGAAGACCTACTGATTTGTATACATTAATTTTGTATCCAGAAAATTTACTGAATTCTTTTATCACTTCTAGGAGCTTTTTGGAGGAATCTTTAGGGTTTTGTAGGTATACAATCACATCATCATCAAACAGAGACAGTTTGACTTTCTCTTTACCAATTGGGATGCCCTTTATTTCTTTCTCTTGTCTGATTGCTCTGGCTAGGATTTCCAGTACTATGTTGAAGATAAGCAGTGAGAGTGGGCACTCATGTCTTGTTCCAGTCCTCAGGGAATGCTTTCAACTTTTCCCCATTCAGTATTATGTTGGTTGTGGGTTTGTCATAGATGACTTTTATTACATTGAGGTAGGTCCCTTGTATGCTGATTTCACTGAGAGTTTTCATCATAAAGGAATGCTGGATTTTTTTCTGCATCTACTGAGATGATCATGTGATTTTTGTTTCTAATTCTGTTTATGTGGTGCATCACATTTATTGACGTGTGTATGTTAAACCATCCCTGAATCCCTGGTATGAAACCCACTTGATCATGGTGGATTATCTTTTAGAAATGTTGTTGGATTTGGTTAGCTAGTATTTTGTTAAGGATTTTTACATCCATATTCATCAGAGATATTGGTCTGTAGTTTTCTTTTTTGGTTATGTTCTTTCCTGGTTTGGGTATTAGGGTGATACTGGCTTCATAGAATGATTTAGGGAAGATTCCCTCTTTCTCTAGCTTGTGGAATAGTGTCAAAACACAAAGGGGGAAAGGACACCCTATTCAACAAATGTTGCCTGGATAACTGGCAAGCCCCATGTAGGAGAATGAAACTGGATTCTTATCTCTCACTTTCTGTAAAAATCAACTCAAAATGGATTAAGGACTTAAATCTAAGACCCGAAACTATAAAAATTTTAGAAGATAACATCAGAAAAACCCTTCTAGACATTGGCTTACGCAAGGATTTCATGACCAAGAACCAAAAGCAAATGCAATAAAAATGAAGACAAATTGCTGGGACTTAATTAAATTAAATATCTTTTGCATGGCAAAAGGAACAGTCATCAGAGTAAACAGACAGCCCACAGAGTGGGAGAAAATCTTCACAATCTCTACATCTGATAAAGTACTAATATCCAGAATCTACAACAAACTCAAACAAATTACCAAGAAAACAAACAAGCAAACCCATCAAAAAGTGGGCTAAGAACATGAATAGACAACTCTCAAAAGAAGATATACAAATGGCCAACAAACATATGAAAAATGTCAATATCACTAATGATCATGGAAATGCACATCAAAACCACAATGTGATACCACCTTACTCCTACAACAATGGCCATTACAAAAAAAAAAAAATAGATGTTGGTGTGGATGCACTGAATAGGGAACACTTCTATACTGCTGGTGGGAAAGTAAGCTAGTACAACCCCTATGGAAAATAGTGTGGAGATTCCTTAAAGAGCTAAAAGTAGAACTACCATTTGATCCAGCAATCCCACTACTGGGTATCTACCCAGAGGAAAAGAAGTCATTATATGAAAAAGATACTTGCACACGAATGTTTATAGCAGCACAATTCTCAGTTGCAAAAGTGTGGAACCAACCCAAATGCCCATCAATCAACAAGTAAACAAAGAAATAACACAATAGACTTTAGGAACTCAGGGGGAAAGTGTGGAAAGAGGGTTAGGGATAAAAGACTACAAATTGGGTTCAGTGTATATTGCCTGGGTGATGGGTGCACCAAAATCTCATAAATCACCACTAAAGAACTTACTCATGTAACCAAATAGCACCTATTCTCCAAAAACCTATAGAAATTTAAAAAGGTAAAAAAATGATAAAAAACTCAAGGTGGTAAATATACTAAATACCCTGACTTGATCACTACACCTTCTCTGCATGTAACAAACACTCACATATACTCAATAAATATATAAATTATTATATATCAATTAAAAAGAAAATACAATTTAATAAAATTTCAGTTCCAACTGGAATATTTAGCAAGACATACAAAAGCATAGTGGTGATTTTATTCTAACTGATAGGACAATTGATAATCAATGTGGAAGACAAATGGAGCTAAGTCCCTACCTTATACCATACCTAAAAGTCCATTACTGAAGGAATAAAAATGTAAATGTAAAGGATAAACCATAAAGTTTTTAGAGAAAATATATATATATATATATGCCCTTAGGATAGGGAAAGATTTTTTAAACAATCTATGAAAAATAATCATAAAAGAAAACACTGCTAAGTTCAACTATATTAAAATTAATAATTTCTGTTCATTAAAAGACAAAGAAAGTAAAATGGTACTACAAACTGTGAGAAGATATCTGCAAGAAATACAGGCAAAAATTGAATTTTATCTCAGTACAGAAAAAGCTATCACATAAAAAAGAAGACAAAAGACCCAGTAGAAAAGTAGGCTAAAAAATTAAAAGAAAGCATTTTGTAGATGAGAAATATGAATGGCTCATAAACATAAGAAAAGAGGCTCATTAGCAATTATTAGTTGTCAGGAAAATGTAAATTAGAAACACAATTTGATATCATTTGGCACCTACTACATTGGCATAAATTTACAAGCCTGTATTGTAATTTACAATAACAAGTATTGGCCACAATACAAATTATTGAAGAGTCTGAGACACTATTGATGGCAACATAAACTGGCATTACCACTTTGGAAAGCAATTTGTGAATAGTGAATCTGTAAATAATCACATTCCCTACAATCCAGCAATTCCAGACCTGGGTATAAAGCATGTCTCACATATGTGAAAAAGATATGTGCAAGAAGAGCAGCATAGTTAATAACAACAACAAAAAAACCTGGAAACAAGCTAAATTCTATCAACAGTAAATGAACAGTCATGTATATGTATACTCATCTAGTGGAATATTATACAATAGTGAAATGAATGAATTATACCTAGCTGCTTCAGTATGAATGACTCTGAAACACATAATGTTGAGAGAAAAAGCAAGTGCATAAAACTGTACAAAAAACTGCTATTTTATAAAGCTCAAAAAAGTAATGCATTGCTTAAGTATATATTCATATGTCATTAATCTATTAAAAAGTAATTGATAAACGAAAATCAGAATAGTGTTTACTTTCTTGAAGTGAAGGAAGAGGATGGAAGAGGAAAGGAGAATCCAACTGGTTGCAAAGGCATTTATAAGGCTCTATTTCCACACTGGATGGTGTTTTCATCATTAATATTTGTTTATATGTATCAAACAACTTGTAATGAAACATTTAAAGTTACATGTGTGTTATGGGCCGAATTGTGTGTCCTCCCCAAATTTATATATTGAAGTTCTATGAATGTATTTGGAGAAAGTGTTGTTAAAGAGATAATTAAGTCAAAATGAGCTTACTAGGGTGGGACCTAATAGTCCAAGATGAGTGATGTCCTTGTAAGGAGAGGAAATTAAAACACAGACATACACAGAGGAAGACCATGGGAAGACAGAGGGAAGAGACTGCCATCTACAAGCCAAGAAGCGCCTCAGAAAAAATTAACCCTGTTGACACTTTGATCTCAGACTTCTAGCCTCCAGAACTATGAGAAAATAAATTTATCTTTAAGCCAACTAATCTGTGATATTTTGTTATGGAAGCCCTAACAAATTAATATAATGTGATTCTATAAAACAGGATAAATTATATGTTTTACTTAATTTTTTTAGTTAGTCAGAAACTTAATTCATTTTTGTTAACTAGGAAGCTAACTACTGATGACATCATTTACAGCATTTATGATGTTATTTCCATTAGGAAATACAACACTAGGTTTTTAAAACTTGACATAAATTAACATTTTGATTATAATTCATTCACATAAACAAGGTTCAGACATTCTCATCTCAACTTTCTATTGAGGGGCCTGATATAAACTCTTTAGTCATTCTGGTACTCAACCTTGATTTCTAAAAAAAGTACATAATCCTTTTTAAGAATGGTGAAATGCATTTCCTTCACAAAGCAGAGCCAGGGATAAGGACTTGGGTTCAAGTGGTTTATTTGAGAGGTGACTCCCAGAAGCAGGAGTGAGGGAGTGAAGAGTGAAACAGGGAAAATGAGAAAGCCAATAAAAGAGAAAGCCAATGGAGCTACTTTGTGTTGCAGACAACTGGGGCTCCACAGAGCTGGGAAGCCTGTAAGCATCCATCAACTTATTTCCTCCACTAGTTAAGAGTGTCTCCCAGAAGCATTAACTGCCCCCACGATTCCATATTACCTTGCTTCTGGCTGAATGGTCCTTGGCTTGCAAAAAATATATAGATATGGATATAGATATAGATATAGATACATAGATAGATACAAGTATATCTATAAAATAGGTATAGCTATATAAGCAGAAAGACCTGATAGGCACTTGAAGTGGGGCTGTGGTACTATGCATAAAAACTGTCCACCACAGCTTGTAGCTCAAGTCAGAGGCAGGCTGAGGGGAAGTAAAATGGAGTACAAAAGGTATCTGTTACCAAGATGTATTTCACCAATCTAAAAACAGTGTCTGTGCTCTTCACAGTGGCAAGAAGTGTCTTAGCCTATTGCCTATTAGCCTATTGCAGGGAAAATGACTTTATTGGGAAAGCAAAACCAAAAAAGAATCCCAAATATTAGGACTAATGATATCACCAAGGAAGACAAATTAAAAAGAAATCAACACCCACCTGGCTGCTGTCCAGGCTTGATGCAATAAAAGTGCCAAAAGGTTAAATGTTATGAATTACATATAGTCAAGCCATGGACTAATGAGAATAAAACTATTGAATACTTATTAAATTGGGGGGAAGGGGTGGAGGAAGTTTAAGCTAAACTAATAAGTAATATAAGAAATCTCAAATAAAAGTATCTGTACATCTGAAACAGATAAAATGTAGTAAAACGTTAGATATAAAATATACAGCCAAAATTTATCTGTTTTTAATTAATAACAAATTATGATCATATTATTTTAACTTCTCTTTTCCATTTGATTTAAATAAATTTTGTTTTTTTGGCTAAAACAATGACACTAATGTCAATATTGAAAAAATAATGAATGAATTAATGAATCTGACTCCCTGTCATAGTATAAAACTTGAGAAACAAGTACATGCTTGTAATTTGCAAATAGAATGATTTTACTGGGAGCTATGATCAAAAGAGACTCCTTAGTTAAATAGACCTTGAACTGTTGCTGAGAAACTACACAGAATCACCTTAATCAATGTTGTAAAACTTCTTTCTATTCAGAATATAATCAGCGAACAAAATGCAAAGCCATATATCACCACTTCCCATTCAATTCTTTCCTGTAAGGCCATGTGTTGTGGCTCATGACTGTAATCCCAGCACTTCTGGAGGTCGAAGTGGGCAGATTGCTTGAGCTCAGGAGTTCGAGACCAGCCTGGGCAACGTGGTGAAACTCCATTTCTACAAAAAATATAGTAATTAGCCAGGCGTGGTGTGCACGTCGGTATTCCCAGGCTGAGATGGGAGGATCACTTGAGCCCAGGAGGTTGACGCTGCAGTGAGCTGTGATTTCACCACTGCACTCCAGCCTGGCATGACAGAGTGAAACCCTGTCTCGAAAAACAAAAAAAGGAAAGAAAAAAGAAAATTTCTGTAATCCCTCAGGAGCCTTGCTTTCGTTAGTACTTTTTCTACCTAAATGCCTTCCCCTATTTTTTTTTTCAGCTAAATACTTCCCATTCATTAAGAAATAGCTCAAATCTATTTTCTTGGGGAAGCTGCTTTGTCTCCTTTCCTGATTCCATCACCCCCAGTCCTGGGAAACAAATCTCCCTTGCCTCAGGTCTCTCAAAATTCTGGAGCTTCCATTATAGCTATTTATGATCTCCTTCACCCCCACTAAATTATGAAATCTTAAGTGCAGAATTTACATCCAATTCATCTTTGAATTCTTACTGCATCTAAGAAGAGTAATTTGCATGAAGTGTGAGTTCTAAAAATATTTATTGGCTCAATAAGTTAAATAAACTATAAATTATTTGTTGCTTTTTGCTTCTATATCTTACAAGCCACTTGAATCTCTACACATATAGAAATTTAGTTCTTTCATTAGTCTGATCCATTTAATAACAGATATTTTTCACATTAATTCACAAATTACTTATTGTTAATCATTGGCAATTTGAACTTGTTCAAGTTTATCTAATGAGACTAGATTCTCAGAAACTTCTAGTTGGGCCAATGATAGGATTAATAAATGATAAGGGACAGAATTTTCAAATGAAACACTTGTCTCAATTTTTTTGAAAATAGAAAGCTTATAAATGAGTTTGTGAGCACACATAATAGTTTCTTATTTATCCTAGATATGTTTGTAATTATGATATCTTCATCCATAGAAATTCTTGAAAATTTAGTTGTGATTCTTGCTAGTCAATCTTTCTGAAAGTGATTTCTAAATAGTACAGGGAATTGGGAGAGAAAGAAATTTGCTTGACTCAGCCAGTTGGCAGAAATAAAACACTCATATTCTTCTTCCTCTATTTCTTCTCTGTAATGGCATTCAGAGAAAGCAAGTATCACTCTGTAATCAAGGAGATTGGAATGAAACCTCTTTTTGAAAAATGTATGGTTTTCTCGGTTTAGTCACTCTGAATCCACACAGCATATGTTTACATTCCAAAAATAATGGTTATAAAGAAAGTCCGCAAAGAGCTGGTTTCTGTAAGATATTCTTTATTCTATTATGCTAATACAACAACCTGGAATGCTAAATCTGCAAAGAAGTTTTTCCAAGAACGTATAAAAAGGTATGAACAGAATTAGCTAAGTTAGCCACTGTTTTCTAGTCTCTATAATCATATTATTATCAACTTAATTATGGCCTATAAGACAAATTTTGGAAAGGTTTTTATGAACATTTAAGCATTTTTTCAGGAGGACCTAATATTGAATCTAGAAAACATTGCCAAGCTATAAACTTTTCCAGACATTTCAAATGATAGATTTTTGTCTAAGAAAAACAGTATTTCTATAGCATCAGTAGCTTAACCTATGGAACTGACTCTCAAATGCCCTTGGTGATATTTTATGTTCTAGACCAATATGTTAGCCACAAGGCACATATGCCTATTGAGCACTTAAAATATGGCTAATCCAAATTGAGGTATGCTTAAATATAAAATACAGTCAGATGTTAAAAGACTGGGTATGCAAAAGAGTAAAACATCTCATTAATAATTTTCATATTAATTGAAATAATAAAAATGAAAATAATATTTTAGACATATTTGTTTTTCTTTTTTCTTTTTATAAAAGATATTCAAAAATTTAAAATTAAATATGTGACTTGTGTTTGTGACTCACATATTTTTATCAGATAGCATTGCTCTATACTTTTACCTAGTTTTGCTCAAATTAGACATTTTTTTTCAGGAATATACAACTATTTATTTTTAGTGCTCAGGATTTCACTAACTGTGGGTAAGTCAGGAAATCTAAAAAAACAATAAACAATGACTGACTATTCAAAGGTGGGCCAGTGTTTGAGAGGTACTAGTTTGGAAAGTCATCTTTTCTTTTATCATAGTTGCTTTCAGACAGTATGAAAATATTTTTACTTAACCCGCATTCAGTACTCAGATACCAAAATTATGCCTGGTTGTGTAATATGAAATACACATAAATGTTATGCAATGCTGATCAGCAACTATGGAGAGCCATATTTAGCATGCCATTTCTCATTTCACAAATAATGACTAATAATCACATCAAAGCATTAATACTCTAACATCAAGATAACACAAAAATAAGTGAAGAATTCAGAAAAGAATAATTTAAAGTCTTTAAAATAAGATCACTATAAAGAACTAGAATGAAGTTACTAAATTAGAGTGATATTCTTACCTTCTTATCATATAACGTAATCTACAAATTGCTTTTTAGTGACTGATGTAGAAGGATAATTTTTAAACGTTAAAAATATAATGGGAATTTTTAAATAAGTTTTTAAAACCAGGCTTTTGCAAGTCCTTTGCCTGCTTTGTCTTTGTGAGAAATAACTATTTCCCAGTGTCACCTAATAAAGAGTGCAAAAGCAATGGCACACCAATAGGAAACAGATAGTTTTGGAGGTGCCTATCAACATACAAAAGTATATTGCACCTTCATCAAATTTCCAAATTCGTTTTTAGACAGTGCTTGTTTGCTGTAATTTCATCCACTAGAAATGATTCAGAATCAGATACTTAGCATTTAGATCCTCTATCCATGTTATTTAAACCAGAGGAAAAGAGCTATGAGCAGTAGATAAGTAGTGTCTCCCCCTGCATGGCTATTGTTGCTAGGGAAACCACTTCCTTCTAATCCTTATGTTCAGCTTGTCCATCCCACTATCTGGCATCATTGCCCCTCAAGAAGGGCAACATCACAGCATGGCATAAGAACAGGAAACAAAAAAGACAAAAACCCATACATTATCCTGCTGCACACAACATTTCTCAGAAAATCTGCATGGCAGTGACTTCTGGGAAATGAAAAAGCAGAGCCAGTCCCTAAAACTGCTATATGTACATGTGCTAGTGGCTACAAGGTACTGCATTCACACATACAAGTATGCAAAAACACCAATTTCCAAGTCACACTTATGATTGCAGAAGAGAATATAATGTGTCAGGCCTGGACAGGACAGGGCTTGGCAGATCAGCATCCTGGAGCATGCTGGGTCAGTAATAGAGCCCTGTGATCTTTCTAAGAGGAAAAGTTACTGGCTGGCAGTATGATCAGTGAAGTTACTTTGTAGCTTCTGAGAAGCAGTCCAAGGAGAACTGAGACCCTGTAGGTCCTGGGGACAGTATGAGGTGTAAAACAGTCCAACTAGCCAAATACAAGCATCATTATGACTGAATAAAAAGAAAGCCGACCGGTTCTGGTTAAAAAAAAAAAAAAGAAGAAGAAGAAAAAAAAACAAAACCATAGCCTACAAAGGCAATTGTTCTCATAAATCAAATATTGGCTTCCTCCTGGCTATCTTAGCAACCTACTCACAGACCCAAACTGGCTCTACAAAACAAATAAATGAAACTTTGGAAAGCTATAATACACAGTAGCTAATTTGAATTAATGCAATTAAAATCACAGTTCTACTCTCATCTGTATATAAGACACCAAATAGTTCCTCTATTGTTTTTTGTTTTACTCTGCTTTTCTAGCATTTATTACATGTGTGTACTGTAAATGTTTGTTAAATTGAATTGAATATACAAGATCTAGTATGGCAAAGGGTAAACAATGTCTACCAAATTCTGAAGTCAGTTGGCAATATAAAAAAGCTGCAGTCATAGCAGATAATTATGCAACTAACTCTGCTATAAGACTGTAAAAAATAAAATATTACACTGATATGAAAGAACCATAACTCAAAAGGTGCTTACTGTGAATCAGAAGTACTAATGGGTACAGCTTGGTATAAGACCATATTCAAAAACTCTATTCAGGGACAGTCAGTTTCCTTTATTCTCTAATAAACCACACCACATGAGACTTCTTTATAATGTATTATTTATATATTTGTGTCTTCTGCTTGAATTATAACAGAGGATGGTCTCTGAACATTGCCACTGTAAAAAGTGCTTCCTCAGATAACAATACAAATTTTAAAATTTGTTTTTCTCAGACTATCAAGAGTATCATTCTGTGCAATCGTATAATACAGTCACCATAATGCTGCCTTAAAATTAAACAGCATTTTATCTACAGACTAAATGAAAACAGAAGCAAGTTGTCTCAAGTTCTATATCACTGAGAGCCAAATTCACCCATTAGTTTCTTGACTGCTTTTATAGGCAGTGTCACAAAACAGGAAAATGCCTGCTCTCCTCTTGCAAACATATCCAAACTGTCACCTGAAACTCCCTTTTTACATATTTACGTCTTCGGTTTTGAGACTTTTAGATATACCTAAGATCTCTAAAAGAAATCCAAATTCATTTTCAAAGGATTATGTAGAAAAAAAGAGTAAATTGCTTTGCTCATATTAATTTTAATTTCCTTTTTTTCTAGACAGACACTATCTTCCCCGTGATCCAAGACTAAATACAGGGTTTCCTTCCTCAAAATTTGAGAAGTTAGTTGCAAACGCAATGAATCTCTAATCCCCATGCAATGTAGGAGCTACTTAGTAGGTTATGCCAATAGAAAGAAAGAATATGAGGGAGGTAATATTCAAAACTGTCTCATTGTTACTCGTGGCTGCACTCCCAAAACGCAGTTTTGGCACTTTAGCGCCAAAGACACAGTCAAAAAGACAAGTTGCTTTTTCCAAAGTTGTCTGCTTTTATTTTACTCCGCAATCTAATGTAATGGCACAGCCCTTTGTGGTGCTGTCTCCCTTATACTCATAATATTCCTAACATGAGTATGAAGTTTCATTTTATTATTAGGCATGAAACATAGATACAATTTAGTAACTTAGTTCTGATAGCCATCATGAAATATCAACTCTGTTTGACCAATCAAGACATTTATGCGTTCCAAGGGCTTGAATTAACTTGCAGTTTGTTTGATTGGTTCAAATGTCAGTCACTGATCCACAGACAATAGTACTATTTGAGAAGACTGCATATATAGTGGAGTAATATTTGATATGTTCACATATCAAATGGGATTAGAATATCCAATGTGTGGAATGTATACCCTTTCCTGCACCATCCTTATGCCCCATCCCCATCCCCCAAGGAGACTGAATTTGGGAATGTCCCATTTAACATCTCTTGTTCCCTGCTCTCTGAGAGAGACAGCGGGCAGCGCAGGTGTCTAAATTCACTCAGGCAAGTCTTGAGGGAACCACTAAAAGCCAAAGATGAACTCCCAATCACAGGAGGCTGAGTGTGGTGGGGAAGTGGTGAAGTGTCTGGCAGGCTCCATGCAGGAAAGTGCAGCATGGTGGAGAGTGGATTTCGAACACATAAGAGGCTAGAGAAGAGGAAGCATATGTGAGAAAAGACCGGAATCTCCATTTGGGGTGTTCTTCTTGAAATGCCATACTAATGCAAAACTACATCCTTACGGTATTCATTTTATAAGCATTACACAAATAGTAAATATCAGGTAAATATGAAATATATGATGTTCAGGTTATGAATTTCTTTAGATAAAATTCCTTAAACCCAATGTTTCCTCTAAAACAAAAAGGCTGAAGAAAATCACAAAATAATCTTATAACTTGGAAGAATCTGTAGTAAGATTATGTTTATTTGCCACAGTCAAGTGTACCTTATCTCCTGGTAGGATGGCACCCATTCAGTGTGCATAAGATCATCCTCGCACACTCAAGCCACAACTTGGGTAGCAGCCAAGGTTAACTAACATGAGAGCTTCCTCCAACCTTCCCTTGCCTTTTACACTTTTCTTTCTCTTCAAGTAGCCCAAAGCCACATTTTAAAAGTGACCTTCAACAAGCAGATTAATTTCTTCAGCACATGGGTACATTCAAAAGCTTTGAAGGATTTAGCTGTAATAAGTAGTCCTAGCAAATAAATGGACTTACGAAGTCTTTGAAGTCTCTAAAAACTTCCCTTAAGTAGCCTCAACTGAAGGTTTGGGATAGATGATTTACAGATCTTCTTGCAAGGCAAAAATCCTATGATTCGAGATCCAGCAGAACTGGCTGGATATTACAGCTTAGTGCTGTTAATATGGCTTTCCCATCTTTAAGAATACTTTTGGATCCAAAACAGGCAGCTTGAATTGTTCAGCGATTAACTACTAGTTAACGTCCAGTATTCACTGGGATAGCAACAAAACCAAATAAGGCAGAAGGCTTTATTTCCCCAGCATAAAGAATGATTATATAAACATTTTTCATTAAATGCAATTAGAAAACATTGCACAGTATTGCAAAGTCACAGATATTTTCTGTGACTCTAGATTGTCACTTAGCACACTCAGGGTTTGTATTTTTCTTTCAAGAAACTCCTGTACTTGACTTAAAACTCATACCCTCTACATCTATTTGTGTAATTTTATAAGCAAGCTTGAAAATAATGTAACAATATGTTCTTAATATCTAATTTTTCAGTTAGAGATGTAAAATATCACAGAAATTTTCTCCGGTTGCTGAATAGATCAGATTTCTAATCAGGTGTTCACTAAGTACCTTTTTTGATGTTTTTCAAGGAGTTTTTATTCTAATTACTGCCTTTCAAAATAGTAATTGCATACTTAATCATGTATAGCATCTGGGGCATGATTTTTGGAGAAATTAAATTTTAAATCACCATCACAAATAATAAATACATAAATAGAGAATAATAATCAACAAAACTGTAGAAATTCATAGAAAATCAATCTACTAAAATCAATTAGTTTGACAACCTATTCCTGAATGTTTGACCAACTTTACCAAAAAAAATTCTAAAGGATATTCTAAATACATTCTTAAAATATTCTTTTAGAATACATATATTTTACATTTCAACTTTTATTTTAGATACTGGGGGTATATGTGCAGGTTTGCTATGTGGGACTATTGTGTGATGTTGAGGCTTCAGGTGTGGTTCCTGTCACCTAGGTAGTGAGCATAGTACCCAATAGATTGTTTTTTAACCCATGCCCTTTCCTTCTCTCCCCTCTCTATTTTTTTCCCATATGTATGTCCATGTGTGCTCAATGTTTAGCTCCCACTTATAAGTGAGAACATGCAATATTTGGTTTTCTGTTCCTTCATTAATTTACTTAGGATCATGGCCTCCAACTGCATTCATGTTGCTGCAAAGGACATGATTTCATTCTTTTTTCTAGCTGCATAGCATTCCATGGTGTATATATGCCACATTTTCTTCATCCAATCTACCTTTGATGTCTTGCTATTGTGAATAGTGCAGTGATGAACACACAAGTGCATGTGTCTTTTTGGTAGAATGATTTATTTTCCTTTGGGTATATACCCAATAGTAATAGGATTGCTGGATCAAATGGTAGCTGTTTTAAGTTCTTTGAGAAATCTCCAGACTGCTTTCCATAGTGGCTAAACTAATTTACATTCCACCAACAGTGTGTAAGAATTCCCTTTTCTCTTTTTCTGCTAAGTCCCTAAAAGCAATTGCAACAACAACAACAACAACAAAACAAACAAAAATAGACAAGTGGGACCTAATTATAAACTAAAGAGCTTCTGCACAGCAAAAGAAACTATCAACAAAGTAAACAGGCAACCTACAAAATGGAAGAAGATATTTGCAGACTATGCATCCAACAAAGACCTAATATCCAGAATCTATAGGGAACTTAAATAAATCAACAAGCAAGAAAAATAACCCCATTACAAAAAGTGAGCAAAGGCCGTGAACAGGCACTCCTCAAAGGGAGACATACAAGTGGCCAAAAAACGTATGAAAAAATGCCCAGCGTCACTAATCATCAGACAAATGCAAATCAAAACCATAATGAGATACTATCTCATATCAGTCAGAATGGCTGTTATTAAAAAGTCAAGAGAAATAGAATATATTTAATAAAAATAAATCTTTTAAATATATCTACTTAATCGAACATTTTATTTCCCAACATTTATTGGGTACTTAAAATATGTTAAGTACTATTTTATGTGCTTTATGTTAGTTATTTACTCTTCATACAATCCTATGAGGTATAGTTTATTATTACCCCCATTTACAAAGAAGGAAACTGAAGCACAGTCATGCTGAATAACTTATCCAAGTTTACACAACCAATAAGTTACAGGGTTTGGGCCACTGTATCATGCTGCTTCCTAAAATGACACTGATCGAAATTATATTAACTAATATACTTAGGAATATAATAAATATATCAGAAAATAAGGAGATCAAACCTTGTTATTACTCAGCTTTCAAATGTTTGACTATTTTTTAAAATACTAAGAAGAATATATACATTAGATAAATGGATAAAATTTAAGGAGAACATATTCACATTTACTAAATGTATTTAAGAATATTCACTAAAACATACCATCACTTAGGATTTATTCTATTCATTAGAAAGAAGTCACCAAATCCAAGAAGGAGCAGAATTAACCTCCACCTCTTGAAGGAAGAATCAAATAATTTGTTGACATAATTTTAAATCATTATATGAGAAAATTGTAATCAAGAGAAAATTTCAAATACAGATTTTCTGTGAGGATTTCATAAGGTTAAGTTTAGAAATATAATAGGTTAGATGTCCTATGAACACTTCATTGAGATTAAGGGTTTTCTTTTTAAATATTTTTTAAAAAACAGAGATAAATATTTGGTTCACTATCTGCTTTACATTTTTCCAATGCTGAAATTTCTGAAGCCCCAGTCAAAGACCTGGCAAGGAGCTCTTATTTGTACAATATATACAAAGATACAAAATCTACTCCTTAATTACATTATTAATTTGGTTCACTGATAACCCCTCAGGCCAATTATATGGGGAAGTAGTGGTTCTTACACTCTGAGTCATGTCTCTGTAACAGGGTCCTCAGGTTTCATGAGGTGATTTAAATCCTAATCCATTTTGGAGTGTCTATAGGACATTCAGTTCATCTGTCCCCTCTTAATTCTCTTAAATCTATTATTAAACTTAGTCATTAGGGCCCCACATAGAATTGCATTAGTCAACCTGGCAGAAAATTTGAGAATAGGATTGTATATCTCTTTCTAGTGTTTATTGTAAAGATGATTGTGTTACCCCTTACATTATGTGGTATGCTCTTCATTAAGACCTATAGGTTTTTCTTAATCTCAGTATCAGAAAAATGAGTTTCTCTTAAAGAATTAATGAATTTTTGTCTTATAGACACTGCAAATCATATTTTCTTCTTTGCATTGGCAGTTAGTTTAGAGCCATGTTTGCACCTACTTCTAATTCAGTGTATAGAATTTTGTGACATGATTTTGGAAACAGCTTGCTCCTTCTATATCATTGTCCCCCTACATTCATTCTTTTTTCCGGGTTTCTTCATCATTTGTTTTAAATGTATGTTATTATTATACAGGACACAGTTGTAGAGACTGATTCAATTATACCTTAGAACAATTTGAAAAATAGATAAATATATAGATGTACCAGTCAAACCTCTTATTTGTCATTGGAACACTTAAAACATAGTTTTCATCTAACTTTTCCACTGTTCACCTAAATACAACCATTCTTTAATAAATCCTACTTCAAATATCTCACACTGAATTTTCTGCTAGGGTATCTCTTCCACATGCCTGTCTTCAGTTTGCATCTGTACTAGATGTGACAACTAGGAAGGTGTGCCATTCACATCTCCCTTCAAGAAAGGACTTGTCATTCAGCAGTAAAGAGGACTGTTAGGTGACATCTCCACTGCAGTTCTTTCTGAATTCACCACAGTGTTTCAGCTAAGACCATACTTTCTTGGCAAACACCCAGCCAATGACTGAGCACAGTGGGTGTACCAGGGCCTACCCAGTCTGTCCAATGACAGACTTATTAAATGGCCAGTCTTTGGTCCGGGGATCACAATTGAGTTGGCCAGGACTCTGTCGTATTTACATCACACTTTAAGGCTCTTGCTGCCCAATTCTGCTCCTTTCCTGTTTGATGTCAGATTAGCACCATGGTCTGATAGCTTCCCATGCCCAATCATGTTTTCTCCTTTATCTTTCTCATAGGTATTATCAACCTTCTACATCCCTGACCAATAAACTTCTTGCACTCCTAACTTCAAATCAGCATCTTATTCTGGTTTGACATAATGAATAAATGACATAACAGATAATACACAAATGTATAATTCCTTGTTCTAGATCTATAAGTATATAAATATATTTAAATTCATCTCCTGGGTGTCTCAGAGATACCTTAGCTGGGACGTAGCCAAAGAGAACTCAAGATCTAATTTTTTTCTGTTCTGCTGTTCCCTATCAGTTGATAGTTCTAGCTTCCATTTGATTGGGGAAAAAACAGAGCAGAAAAACTGGAAACTCTAAAAAGCAGAGCACCTCTCCTCCTCCAAAGGAACGCAGTTCCTCACCAGCAACGGAACAAAGCTGGACGGAGAATGACTTTGACGAGTTCAGAGAAGGCTTCAGACGATCAAACTACTCCGAGCTACAGGAGGAAATTCAAACCAAAAGCAAAGAAGTTGAAAACTTTGAAAAAAATTTAGACGAATGTAAAACTAGAATAACCAATACAGAGAAGTGCTTAAAGGAGCTGATGGAGCTGAAAGCCAAGGCTCGAGAACTACGTGAAGAATGCAGAAGCCTCAGGAGCCGATGCGATCAACTGGAAGACAGGGTATCAGTGATGGAAGATGAAATGAATGAAATGAAGTGAGAAGGGAAGTTTAGAGAAAAAAGAATAAAAAGAAACGAACAAAGCCTCCAAGAAATATGGGACTATGTGAAAAGACCAAATCTACGTCTGATTGTTGTACCTGAAAGTGACGGGGAGAATGGAACCAAGTTGGAAAACACTCTGCAGGACATTATCCAGGAGAACTTCCCCAATGTAGCAAGGCAGGCCAACATTCAGATTCAGGAAATACAGAGAACGCCACAAAGATACTCCTCGAGAAGAGCAACTCCAAGACACGTAATTGTCAAGATTCACCAAAGTTGAAATGAAGGAAAAAATGTTAATGTGCAAGTCAAAAACCCAAGAGTTATCCTTGACATTTCTTCTTGCTCATCCCACATATCCAATTTATCACTGATTCATATTGTTCTTACCTACTAAATATATTCCTCCTTCTATTATCTCTCCAGGTCCACCACAATAGTTTTTGTCTAGAATACCATCATCCTTTGATTTTATTCTCTACTGGCCTCCAAAGATCCATATCCACTATAACCAGCATCCAATACATTTTGTTCAATTACCTCCAGAATTATTTTCAAAAGACAAATCTAATCATGTCACCACTTGGCTTAAAATACCTTCTGTTGTTTCCCATTGCTCTTACAATAAAGATAAAACTCTTTCACACAGCCTACAAGTCCTTGTAGTCAAGTTACAGACTCATTTCCCATTCGCCTGACCCTGCCATATTGTAATTCCACTGTGGCAAGGACTGTGCCTATTTCGTTGATCTTTTTTATCTCCACTGACTGCTTGAGTACCTGCTATGTGCCAGGTGCTCACTATATAGTTGTTTAATACACAATGAAATGACTGAGTGGGTAAATTAATTGATCGAATGAATCTATTCACAATCCACTGAGCACACACAATTTTCTATTGTAGCTCTTTATTTCAGAGTTGCCTATCTAAATCTCTATTCTATAATTCTCAGCTCAAATATCACTTCAACCAAGAGGGCTTGCTTGACTTATCTAGCTGATAATAGTTATGCTACCCTATTATAAACTTCCATATTCTTATTATGTATGATGCTTAATATTTAATCATCTCATTAAGAGCTTTAAGATTTAATACAACTAATATATGCAATTAAACTCTACATTCCTTGAAGGCAAATGTTGAGCTTATTGTTTTATGTATTCTGCACGTGACCTAACATACACATATGTGTATAACTGTGTGTGCTTTAGTTGATTGAATGATTTGATTGACTGATCTGGCAACATCTGGATGATTTTGCCTGCCACTACAGCAACACTGTTGTGATATTGCAAAGAGTAGATGAGGCTAATAAAAATGTGATGGCCCAGTAAAAATGTTGGTAAGGCAATTTATCTCTTGAACCTAACATTATGTATCAACAATAGGAGACTCATTTGGCCTATAAATTTTTGTTGGTTTTCTAAACTCAGATATTATAAAATCTGCTTTGTAGCTACAAAATGTGCAGTGGCTGAAGGCATTTAAGAATTGCCAAAGATTTATATTAGAAAAATTTTTCAAAATATTAATATGTGTACTATTGCGACCGAAAAGTATGTTTAAGACAGTTGATTTTTAGAGACAAGCTGTCTTTAAAATTTTTGTTATGAATATTTTAATGTATATTAAAAAATAAAGTGCACTACCACATTGTGGTATTTCTCACAACATTTCAAACATTTTATTATTATAATATCTGTTATGGTGATCTGTGATCAGTGATCTTTGATGTCGCTATTGTAATTGTTTTGGGGCACCACAAACCACACCCACAGAAGACAGCAAACTTAATCGGTGAATGTGTGTGTTCTGACTGCTCCACTAGCCAGCTATTCCCCATCTCTCTCCCTCTTCTCAGGCCTCCCTATTCCCTGAGACACACCAATATTGAAGTTAGGCCAGCTAATAACCATACAATAGCATCTAAGTGGTCAAGTGAAAGGAAGAGTCACAGGTCTCTCACTTAACATCAAAAGCTAGAAATAATTACACTTAGTGAGGAAGATATGTCAAAAGCTGAAATGGGTAGAGTCCTCTTGTGCCAAACAGTTAGTCAAGTTGTGAATGCAAAGGAAGAGATCTTGAAGGAACCTAAAAGTGGTACTCTACTGAATACACAAATGATTAAAAAAAAAGTGAAACAAACTTATTGCCAATATGGAGAAAGTTTGAGTGGTCTGAATAAATAAAACCAGCCACAACAGCCCCTCTTCCAAATCCTAATCCGGAGCAAGGCTCTAACCATCTTCAATTCTATGAAGACTTAGAGAGGTGAGGAAGCTGCAGAAAAAAAGTTGGAAACTAGCAAAGGTAGTTTCATAAGATTTAAGGAAAGATGCTGTCTCCATAACATAAAAGTGCAAGATGAAGCAGCAAGTGCTGATGTAGAAGCTGCAGCAAGTTAGTCAGATGATCTAGCTAAGATCATTCATGAAGGTGGCTACACTAAACAACAGCATTTCAATATAGATGACACATTTTTCTGTTGGAAGAAGATGGCCTCTAGGACTTGCCTAGTTAGAGAGGTGAAGTCAATGCTTGGCTTCAAAGGACAGGCAAACTCTCTTGTTAGGGGTAAATGCAGCTGGTGACTTTAAGTTGAAGTCAGTGCTCATTTGATATTCTGAAAATCAGAGGGCTCTTAAGAATTATGCTAAATCTATTCTGCCTGTGCCCTATAAATGGAACAAGAAAGCCTGGATGACAGCACATCTGTTTACAGCATGGTTTACTGAACACTTTAAGCCTCCTGTTGAGACACACTGTTCAGAAAAAAAATATTTCTTTTAAAATATTACTGCTCTTTGACAATGTGCTCAACAGCTCTGATGGAGATATACCAGAAGATGAATGCTGTCTTTGTGTCTGCTAACACAACGTCAATTTTGCAGCCCATGGATCAAGTAGTAATTTCAACTTTTAAGTCTTATTATTTAGGAAATACACTTTGACAGGCTATATCTGTCATAGACAGTGATTCTTTTTCTGGGCAGAGTGAGTTGAAAACCTTCTGGAAGAGATTCACCATTCTAGATGCCATCAAGAATATTTATGATTCATGGCCAGAGGCCAAAATAGCAACATTAACAGGAATTTGGAAGAAGTTCATTCCAACCCTCATGAATGACTTTGAGAGGTTCAAGACTTGAGTGAAGGAAGTAACTGCAGATGTGGTAAAAGTAACAAAAGAACTAGAATTAGAAATGGAGCCGGAAGATACAGAATTGCTGCAATTTCATGATAAACTTGAACAATGAGATGTTGGTTCTTATGTGGGAACAAAGAAAGTGGTTTCGTGTGAAAGAATCTGTTCTTCGTGAAGAGGCCATGAATATTGTTGCAATGACAACAAAGAATTTAGAATATTGCATAAACTTAGTTGATAAAACAGCAGCAGAGTTTAAGATGATTGACTCCAATTTTCAAAAAACTTCCTATTGTGAGTAAAATGATATTAAATCACATCTTATACTACAGAGAAAACTTGTGAAAAAAAGAGTCAATCGATATGGCAAAATTTATTGTTGCCTTATTTTCAGAAATTGCCACAGCCACCCCAACTTTCAGCAACCACCACTGTGATCAGTCAGCTGTCAACACTGAGGCAAGACCTTCTGCTAACAAAAAGATTTTGATTCATGATGATCATTAGCATTTTTCAGCAATAAAGTATTTTAATTGTTATGTACTTTTTTTAGACATAATGCTACTGCACACTTAATAAACTACAGTATAGTTATAAACAAAACTTGTATGTGCTGGGAAACCACAAAATTCATGTGACTTGCTTTATTGTGGTAATCTGGAACCAAACCCACAATACATCTGAGGTATACCTGTAATATGTGATATCAGATATGGCCAAACCAATGACTGAAGTTTAAGAAGCATTGTTTTTTTGTTTTTTTGAGATGGAGTCTCACTCTGTCACCCAGGCTGGAGTGCAGAGGTGCAGTCTCGACTCACTGCAACCTCCGCCTCCCTGGTTCAAGCAATATCTCTGCCTCAGGCTCCCAAGTAGCTAGGATTACAGGTGCCCACCACCACGCTTGCCTAAATTTTGTGTTTTTAGTAGAGACGTGGTTCCACCATCTTGGCCAGGCTGGTCTTGAACTCCTGACCTTGTGATCCAGTCGCCTCGGACTCCCAACATGCTGGGATTACAGGCATGAGCCACCGCGTCCAGTGAGAAGCATTGTTTTTAAGGACTGAAATATTATTCTAGCTCTTTATTGAAAACTAGATTCTTACCACTATTTAATAATTGTGTCTGCTAGCTTTCGTTCAGCTGTCAGATATTTAGAGCACTGCCTATGTGTAAAGCACTAGGTTTAGAACTACAGAAATAAAATAATTAAGAAAGTTTCTTCCCTCGAGGAGCTCATGACACAAAGGGGAAGGCACTGTGGAATAAATAAACCCAATAGAAATTCCCCAGTAGAGGCACATCTATTGAAAGGTTACTTATGGAGGAAAAAAAAAACTAGGAATGATCAGCTGTGCTTGCTGAAGGTGGTGTCAACAAAAGGGGTCAATACAAGGGCTGCATTTGGGATGCTGAGTAAAACAAGTGTGGTCACATAATTTCAGGTGAAGGCAACAGTCTTTGTCAATCCACAGAGGCTAATATGACAGCAAGTAATTCCAAATGTCTGGAGCATGGGATGCAGCATAGTGGAGACTGGAAACTGAGGCAAAGCAAGTAGAGGCCTTCTATGCCATGCCAAGGTGATAAAGGACCAATACATAGGAGAGGCATATGATCAGGCTTCTATTTTAAAATAAATAATGTCACAGGAATTTTGTTCCTTATGAATTTCAAGGCAAGAAGTGTGAAAAGTACTTTTTCTACAAAGATAATTTTAGGAATAAATGTTTTCCAAAATTTCCAAAAGTGAGATTTGGAGAAGACACACAAACTGAGGTGAGGTGAACAGACTTAATAAAACATGAAAGCTTTCTCTCTAAGTTCAAGAATAAGCCAAACATGTCCACTTTTGCCACTTCTATTCAACATAATACTGGAAGTCCTAGCTAAAGCAATGAGGCAAGAGAAAGAAATGAAAGGCATCCAAAGTAGAAGGAAGACAATAAATTGTCCCTATTTTCGGACAACCTAATCTTAATCATAGAAAATCTTAAAGATGCCACCAGAATACTGTTAAAACTAATTTTTTAAATTCAGTAAAGTTGCAGGATACAAAATCAACAAGTAAAAATCAGTAGTATTTCTACACACTAATGATGAACTATCAGAAAAAGAAATCAAGAAAACAATCCTATTCACAATAGCAAAAAAAAAAAAAATTAAAGATACTTACTAATGAAATTAAGGTAGCAGATGAAAGGCCTATACAATAAAAGCTATAAAACAATGATGAAAGAAATTGAAGGCACAAATAAATGGAAAGATATCCCATATTCATGGAAGGAAACAATTAATATTGTTTAAATGTCCAAATTGGCCAGAGCAATCTACAGATTCAATGCAAGTTCCATCAAACTTTTGATGACATTTTTCACAGAAATAGAAAAATCCTAAAAATGTGTATGGAACCACAAAAGACCCTGAATAGCCAAAGCAATCCTGAGCAAAAATAACAGAGCTGGAGGCATCACACTATGTGACTTCAAAATATACTACAAAGCTATTGTAGTCAGAACAGCATGACATTGGTATTAAAAGTAGACACATGGGGCCAGGCGTGGTGGCTCACGCCTGTAATCCCAGCACTTTGGGAGGCCAAGGTGGGCAGATCATGAGGTCAGGAGATGGAGACCATCCTGGCTAACACGGTGAAACCCCGTCTCTACTGAAAATCCAAAAAAATTAGCCAGGTGTGGTGGCAGGCACCTGTAGTCCCAGGTAGTCAGGAGGCTGAGGCAGGAGAATGGCATGAACCCAGGAGGCGGAGCTTGCAGTGAGCTGAGATTTCGCCACTGTACTCCAGCCTGGGTGACAGAAAACATGTACCCTAAAACTTAAAGTATAATAATAATAAAATAAAATAAAATAAAAAGTAGACACATGGACCAACAGTACATAACAGAGCCCAGAAACGTATCAACACATTTGCAAACAATTGACTTTCAACAAAGGTGCCAAAAACACACAATGGGGAAAGAACAGTCTTTTCAGTATATGGTGTTAGGAATACTGTATATCCACATGAAAAACTGAAATTAGACCCCTAACTCACATACAAGGATCCACTCATTATGGATTAAAGGCTTAAACATAAGACCTGAAACTGTAAAACTACTGGGAGAAAACTCTTCAGGACATTGTTTTGGGCAATGATTTTTTTGGAGATCGCCCCAAAGCACAGGCAACAAATGCAAAAAAGACAAACGGGATTACATCAAAGTAAAAAGCTTCTGCACAGCAAAGGAAATAATCAACAGAGGGAAGAGACAAATCTACAAAATGGGGGAAAATATTGCAAACCATACATCTAATAAGGGATTAATATCCAAACTATATGAGGAACTACTACAACTCATAGCAAAATAAATAAATAACCTGATTTTTTTAAATGGTCAAAGGTCCTGAATAAATATTTCTAGAAAGAAGATATACAAGTGTTCAGGAGATATATGAAAAATGTTCAACATTACTAATCATCAGAGAAATGGATATTCAAACCCCATGAGATATCACCTCACACTTGTTAGAATGGCTATCATCAAAAAGATGAAAGATAATAGGGAAGGTGAGGATGTGAAGTGGGAACCCTTCCACAGTGTTGATGGAAATGCAAATTAGTAGAGCTATTATGGAAAGCAGTGTGGAGTTTCCTCCAAAAATTAAAAATAGAACCACCATATGTTCCAGCAATGCCACTACTGGGTATATATCCACAGGATATGAAATCAATATTTTGAAGAGATATCTGCAGTCACATGTTTATTGCAGCATTATTTATAGTAACCAAGATATGGAAGCCACCCAAGTGTCCATGAACAGATGAATGGATAAGAAAATGTGGTATATATAGCACAGTAGACTACTACGCAGCCTTAAAAAACAAAAAGGAAATCTTGCCATTTGGGACAACATTGATGAACCTGGACAACATTATGTTATGTGAAATAAGCTAGGCACAGAAAGACAAACACCACACGATCTCACTTACATGTAGGATCTAAAAATGTCAAATTCATAGAAATAAAGAAGAAAGTGGTGTTTATCAGGGGCTGAGGGTGAGGGAGAAGGGTGGAGTTGGGGAAATGTTGGTCAAAGGACAAAATTTCAGTTAGGTAGAAGGAGTATGTTCAAGCAATTTATTGTAAAACACAGTGACTGTGGTTAGTAACTATTATATTCTTGAAAATTGCTGAAAGAATAGATTTTAAATGTTCTCCTTATAAAAAATTATATGTATGTGAGGTAATGCTTATGTTAATTAGCTCTATTGAGCTATTGCACAATATATGCATATTTCAAAATATCATGTTGTATATAATAAATATGTACAATTTTTGCCTATTAAAAATTAATAGAGTAAACAAAATCAATAAAAACAAAAGTACTTTATAAATGATATTTACAATTATGAGTATACTTACATCACATGATATGAATTATGGCATTCCGTTGAAATCAAATCAAAGATGATAAATTTTTATTTAAAAAAAAGGAAAAGAAAAAAGAGACAAGGCAAAAAAATGTAAGTGTGAATCTTTGACTGGATCCTGATTTTAAAAGAGCAGCTATGAAGGATGTAATTGAAGTGAGTGGAGAATTTTGAAAAAAGATATATATTATCTGTGCATTATATAATTGTGATGTTATTGTTAAGTTAAATTTCCTTAGTTTGATTTTTTTTTTCTTTTGAGATGGAGTCTGGCTCTATCTTCCAGTCTGGAGTGCAGTGGCACAATCTTGCTCACCGCAGCTCACTGAGGCTCACTGTAACCTCCACTTTCTGGGTTTAAGGAATTCTGGTGCCTCTGCCTCCCGAGTAGCTGGGATTACAGGCATGCATCACCACGCCCGGCTAATTTTTGTATTTTTAAAGTAGAGACGGGGTTTCACCATGTTGGCCAGACGGGTCTTGGACTCCTGACCTCAATTAATCGGCTCGCCTCGGCCTCTCCAAGTGAACCACTGCGCCCAGCTTGGTTTGTATTCATATGGAAAAATGCCTTTGTTCTTAGGAGTTACATGCAGAAATATTTGAGTATAAAATTGTATAATTTGAGAGTAAGTTGTTCTCAAATGTTTCAGAATAAAAAATATATTAATACGTATATAAACAGTGAGGTAGAGCAAGGAGTGTGAGCGTTGATTTATTATTCCTATAGACTTTCTGTAGGCTTGGTATTTTTACAAAATAAAATGTTAGAAAATAATTGATTCCTGAGTCTCACCCCTAAATCTTCTGATTTAATTAGTTGGAGGAGTAGCCTAAGCATGGGGATTTTTTTTAAGCTCCATAGATTTTGCTTAGGTTGAAAACCACTGCAATAGTTCATAATTGTATTTTACAACTATCTGGGGTGTGGAGGAATCACAGCTCCTTCAGCATAGCAATTCTTGAGCTTTGACTTTAGGACAACATCTTTATAGGTGCTTAACATATATTAACTGGCTACATTTGAATAGCATAGGGTATAGGCTTGGATACTTGATTTTAGTCTTTTATTCATTTTCACAAGATATATCTGTGAGTGATTTACTTTGTACCAGAAACCCACGCATTTCAACCCATAAATAAGGCCAGACCATTTAAAATAACATCTGCCTTGAATATGTAAACTACTAGACCAGAGAGTTAAAATTTGAGAATGTTATGTGAAAAACACTCAAAATTATATGCAGTCAGGATATATATCACTGAAGGGCAAGAGTTTTCCACACACACAAAAATATATTAATGCAAGAAAAGATGTGATAAAATATGTATGCATTTATCCCACACTGAATGACAAGAAATATAAATTTCTAAAAATCAATAGCTGAGTAAAAAATAAAAATTTAGCTTTACATCTGACCTTCATCCAGAATAAAAGACTAAAGGTGAAAATCTCAAATTTAGTTATATTTTATGTAACATTTTTAAAAGATTTAATGGATGATATACTATCAAAGGAACTTTATATCTCTATGGCCAAGTATAAAATTTAGATTGCATTTGGTCCTGATTTCAGGGATTTGTGCTGCTTGCTATAGGAAAATTAGACATCATCTGAAGCTATAATTATATATAACTTTTGCCCTGACATTTGCCAGCCAGTCAATGTCCTTGCTCTTTCCATGTTTTTGCATGTAAAAAAAGTAAACAAATTAAACAATAATATTTCTATAAAAGGGAAAGTTACAAGAAGAATGAAAAATAAATACTCTTCAATATAACAGAATAATAGACAATCTCTAGGCTTTGATAGTTTCAAACAACCCATTACTTCTTTATCAATAATTAAATCTATCATTAAACAAAATTTTATCCTTTAAGAAAGTGCATATAATTGGTCTCTTTGCTATATTTGTGTTAGGTGAGGTCTAGTTGCACAGCCAAAATTCCATATCAAGCTTAGCAGTTACCTTATACTCTTAAGCACACAGTGTCTTTATCTTCTAATCCTAAAAAACAAATTTTATTTGACCATTACTACAAACATTACCCCCATATGTACATTAAGCAAAGAAATTCAGTTCTATAATTGTTTACTAGAAAAATAAAATCTATTCCCCTCTCCTTGCCTCTTCACTAACATCTGCCACCAAGATCAGAAAAGAGAATGGTGCATTATTTAAGAGCAATAATGTATACACTTTGGTTTGGTCACATACAGCTAAGAAAGCAGGTATAATGAGACACCTGAACTGGTTATTTACTTTATACCCAGTAGCCTTATGAGATGCAATTTAGAAATGAGGAAGTAAATGAAAAAAAAAATGTTAACACCACCAGAACAAACTTTGGATAACAGTGGCCTTGAAAATTATAGGGAAGAAACTCGTTTCTCTTCTTCCTTATGGATTTAGTCTTTCCTGTCCCTGAACATTATTTGCCCAGAAGAGAGATGTGTATGCATTTGTGTGGTGTGTGTGTGCGTGTGTGTGTGAGAGACAGTGTGTGTGTGAGAGAGGGAGTGTGTGTGTGTGAGAGAGAGTATGTGTGTGTGTGTGTAATCCAACAGCTACCCACTTAACACTAAGATTAAGGATGCCCATCTGCAACTCACACCATTGGAGAGACTTTTAGAGATGAGGCTTGTCAAGGCCACACCCATTCTAGATCTTTCTCTAAGACTTGGAGTGTGAATGCCAAATTTGCACTGTCCTTCTTGAGCCCCCATGAAATTATTACAACTCATACTTGGGAGAGTATACTTCTGGGAGGGAGGGAAATAAATTCTAGAGTAAGACTAATTTGTGGATAAGAAATAAAATTTCTAACAGTAGATAAAGAAATTGACAAGGAGAAACTCTTACAAACCTGATGATAGAATGAGGTTAGAAACTGGGACACCTTCCTAAGAGGCCTTGCAGGAAAGGTAGAAATTTTGGGACACTTTCCCTTTGGACCATGGGAAAGCCATGTCACTCTCATTTACAATTCTTTCTCCATTGCTTTTTGTTTTCTTCAATCTTTTATAAATTCAGATATAATTTAATAACTGTATGTGGTATTTGTGACGAAGAAGGAAGGAACAGGGCCATAAAGACAGATTGGACCTGTAACACTTTTATCACACACACTTCTGCAGAGGACTTTGGCAAGCAGCACCATTTCTCTGAGAGGCCTTGAAGTTCATGAACATGATTTATTTTTTTAAAAAAAGTTTTTTATAAAAGGGTTTTACATCTACTTTTTTGTACCATACTCTATTGCCCTGCCACATCTCTTTTTCCTATGTATTACATTAGATATTGTGAAAAAGTATTGTTGAAACAGAACTTATATCATCAAAAAAGAAAGAAAACAAAGAACTAGAAAGGACTTGTGTAAAATGTTGGATTTCTGTTCCCAGAACTCATTGAACTTACTTCTCCCTCAACCATCTATAGATGAACATGGGCTATCATAAAATCATAGTTAGAACCTTAGAGATTTTGATGATAAGAGTCTACTGTCAGAGAAACCAGTTTCAAGTCATTTCAAGAATACTAAATGATTTTCATTTGGGAAATTCTAGTTTAAAAAAAAACAAACATGTTGATGTAGGTCCAAATGAACTCAATGTAGGTACAAGACTTGACCACATCACACAAGCAGTAAACAGCAAAGTAAGAGTCTGCCTAGTTTCGTCTAACTCCAGAACTCTTGCTGTTCCCCACTACACTGCACTATCCCCTAGCTTTATAATGTCAGCCTGCACACCTAAGCAATCATTATGAACCTATCCCTGGAATCTTGTAGAATGACAGGAAGTCCTGTTGGAACCCTAGGAGCAGGTTATGACAGCATCACTTCTTTTGAAAATGGGGAAAACTGTTCTGCTTATCAGTTACCAACCACATAAGGATACTAATCTTTTTGTTCTTTATTCGGAATTAAGAAAGGGACATGGGGGCATCAAAGCTAACAAGCAGCAAGATTCTTCTGCCTGCATCCCTGAGAAGCTGTGAAATTTAGGTAGTTAAAAGGTGACTGGCAGGAGGATCCAATCCGTTGTGTTCTCTGCATTGACACATATATCATAATGTTGGGTAACAGTACAACGCTGAATGCAGAATATAGATTTCTTGTCATATATCATGTGTAAGAGATGTATTTAATATTCACTATTGAATATTAAAACTATATTCCCTTGAAGCAACATAGGCATCAAGAAAGAAAGAAAAATGACATGTTATCTTTTTTGACATGATAAACATCAAAAAGACTCAGAATAAACATTATCTTAATCATGATAGGTATGCCTGGGGAAAGAACATGGTAGTTGCTGGAAGCACAAGAGCATCAGATGAGTCCAGCAAGCCCAGTTCTGTTCATGACTGTGACATCAAATATATAACCTTTGACGACCTTAAGTCCCTCACCTTAGTTTCCTCATCTATTAAAGCCAGCTATTTACATGGCCTGTATCTACCTATTAGCTTATTGTGAGGAGTAAATAAAATAATGGGGATGATCACAACAAACTTCTATAAAAACAAAAGTTTGTCTAATACTTTGATAGGATAATACATCTATTATATGCAAATTTTACTTAACTACAGAATTATTTTAATTAGCAACTACAGATTTGTTGAGTCATCCATATAAAATTAGAAAATAGAACTATTAAGTATACATATTTAAACAGCAGTGTGGGAAACATTGAAGCACTATTTATTGAGTGTAGTTTCTGGTGTGATTCAATTCTCATCCCAAAGACATAGAATGTCTTTTATTTTCCCAGGTTAAATATAGTATCTTCGGGAATTATTGACATTTAAAAAAAACATTTTCAATTAATATTAAATTCTGAGTGGTGCAATATTTTGAAAGAGGAAAGAGAGCAAAGAATAAACAAATGAAATTGATTTTCAAGTCTAAAAGTTTAAAAACATAAAAAGTAGGAATTAAAATATTAAAATGGTGGTGTCAGATGTTGGATAGGCACAATGTCTTAGTCCATTTAAACTGCTATAACAAAATACCATATACAGGGTATGTTATGAACAACAGAAACTTATTACTCACCGTTCTGTAAGGTGAACAGTTCAAGATCAAGGCATCAGCAGATTCAGTGTCTGATGAGGGCCCCTTCCCTCATAGATGACATCTTCTAGCTGTGTCTTCATGTGGTGGAAGAGGGAAGGAACAAGCCTCATAGTGTCTCTTTTATAAGGACAGTAACCTTTTATCTGGATGCTGAGGAGCCCTCATGACCTAATTGCCTCCCAAAGGGCCCCACCTCCTGATACCATCACGTTGGAGATTAGGTTTCCATCTTTGAATTTTCAGAGGACAAAAGCATTCAGACTATAGTACATAGGCCTGCATATTTCCAGTTCTAGAAGGATCTCACACTTTGGAGTGTTTTTCTCTACATTTTCTGTAGCTTCCTCTATGCCTGGTAGTGGCTAGACCAGCAGTGCCATCCAATCAGGGTTCTCCAAGCTCAGATCATAAAACACAAGGTCTTCATTCTCCATTTCTCCACTAAGGTATTTCTCCAACCAACTTTCCAGGACCTGGGTTCTACCAAATGCCCATGGAACCCTAGGGCTCATGCGGATGGGATTGTCCTGAGACCCCTGCCTGACCTCTAATCCAAGAGAGCAGACTGAAGAGTGGTAACTCCCAATGTCAGCACAGAATTTCTTTTTGTGGGACCACACAAGACTGAGTTTTCAGAATGGAACCAACAAGCAGCAGATGTTGGCCGACTCTCTTATCGATGTAAGACAAGTTCAGGACTCAGAGCTACAAAGAATCTACTGCTAAAACTTGAGCTTGATCTGAGTGTGTGGTCTAGAACATGGGCTCACACTCACCTCTGTTGTGACCACAGTACCACCTTTGATCCAGCACTGAAGAGTATTCTTTACCCTATGTACCCTTGGCCATCCCTGTGGCAGATACCTACCCCTTCTTTAGGTTCCATGCCCCATGTCTGGCAGTTCTCTGGGATTTGGTCATATTATCTACTCTAAGGCCTTTGGATCTATATCTACTCTGGCTATTGATCACTGTGGTAATGCCATGCTTTTGTAAGATGGACTTCCTTACACAAATTGGACCATTCTTTCCCTATCCCATTCCCCTTCCCCTCAAACTCCTCATCTGTTCTCTCCTCTGGTGGCAGTGTATAGAAGGAAGAGAGAGTCAACTTTTAAGAAGATCATGTTTTATGTGTGCAGTGATTATAGCCTAAGGAGTTCAAGAGAAAATATAGTTGGAAGTCATGTTGTTCTATGCTTATGCATTAAAATTCAAAACGAGAAATTTAACATGAATGGAGAATGAATTGTTGTTCACATGTTTCTGCATAGTCTGGGTAAGTTTACATTTCTGTTCATCATCAATAAAACATAGTAACAACATTTAAGAGAGTCTTTGGGGGCCAGTAATCATGGAAAGCACTATGGATGATGCAAAGTCATGAGCAATCATGTAACCAGAATTAAATAAATGGTATTAGGGAACTGCAGAGGCAAGATCTATATTTTTCAATATAAGCAGGTTCCAGCAAGCCATGACCTTATGAGTAATAACAATGTTAATGCCTTTTTCTTTGAGTAAGAGATATAAAATTAGCCAGGAATGGTACATTTTACAATAAAGAAGAGAGGGCTCCTGTACCTGAACAGGAAAAGATGATACCTGGATACTATTAGAAAATGTCATCTGCCATGGGCCTGATCAGGCTTGCATGTTCTTGCTCTGTGTGCCAGATTACTAGCCTTATCCATCCCCTGTTACTGATCAGGGACACATAGGCACTAAGTAGGTCAAAGTGACCACAATAAGACTCCAGGTTTGTAGCAGGAGGGGTCTGAATGATTTGCTACCTGCTACAACATTTTGTAGCTTGCTCAGAGAGTCCTGTACCCTTGGGACCCCTACTTTAATGCAACTCACTGCAAGTACAGGTATCATCTAAGCCCATTTCATCAAGCTCTGATACTTGGCAAGGAGAACCAATGCAAATATGCTGATGCTCATGCTTTTTGCTGTACTGTGAGCAATTAAATCCTTTGCCTCTGACCCAGGAGTCTCCTGTTTTTTTGCCAGTATCCTCGAAATAGTAACAAACTAACTTGTTAGATTGCATTAGGGTAAACTCTCAGAACCTTCACAGTTTTTGGCAGATACTACAAAGAATCCCTTCTCAACTCATTATTCTAAATCACCATCAACCTATCACTATAACTCACATGGGCCTGTGAATTTCATAACACATTGTAAAATCAAATTAACCACATAGACAGGAGCCTGACAAAAAAGTTTTGCCCTGTACCCTGCACACCCTATGGATGGCCCTAGATAGGTTCCCATTATTTGAATGGCTACTTATGTCATAAAGTAGAAAATGTACCCAAGTTTGCTTTTTGTTTTGTGAAACTGAGAGTCCGGAAATAATTTAATAATCAAAGCATGTTTGTACAAGTAATTAAGAAAGATAATAATTTTAAAATAACTTTTTATTAAATTAATATATGCCAGACAGTGATCAAATATTTGAGGAATCTAATCTCTCTCCCCAACTGCAAGACCCCATTGTAGTGGTTCCTATACCTATTACTGTGAGCCTCCCTTGAATAAAGTCTGTCTTTCCAACTTTAAGAAAAAGAAAAAAAGCTGAGCACAATGGCGTGCACCTGTAGTCCTAGCTACTCGGGGGAGGAGCTCTTGAGACCAGGAGTTTCAGTCCAGCCTGGTGTGATGTCTCATCAAAAAAAAAAAAAAAAAAATCACTTCTTGATCTTTTGGCTAAGATCAAGTGTGAATGTTTGATATATATTATCTCATTTAATCCTATAATTCCATTATCCTCAAATTTTTCTACCAATTAACAACATGTTTGAAGTTTCATCCTTAGTTAATATATTAAAGCATTCTACTTAAAGGAATGGATAAATGTAAACTAAAGATAAGGAGGGTCTTAAAAAAGAAGGCAGGTGTGTTTGCAGATATTTTTAAAGGACACTGGATCAGCTCATAGATTGAACATGAATGACCAAGACCAGGAATAACAAAAATTAGGGTTCTTGAGGACCTCAGGAATTAGAACTAGAGACATGAAAAACCTTTTCAACACTGTTTCTTGTCTTCTTTTCTTTGGTTCCATCTTGTCTTTTATTCCTCTGTCTGCTTAAAACTCTCATTCCAAGGTTGAATCACTACCACTAGTGAATGCTGGATTAATATCCTTACAACTTTACCATCTGAGATAGAAGGGCTCATTCCTCTAACTCAAGCTTAAATTCATAAGGAAGAGTCTGACTGGCATGACATATGTCTGGTGCCCACTCCTTGGACTAATCACTGTGGGCACAATGTACTATGATTAGCAATCTTTACTAAAGGTAGTCTATTAATCCCAGAAGGAGGAAAAGATGCTGGGAAAACCAAGCAAAGTAATATCCAAAATAATCATTTAAACAATTATGACTTTATCTTTACTTTATTTTATTATTATTATTATTATTATTATTATACTTTAAGTTTTAGGGTACATGTGCACAATGTGCAGGTTAGTTACATATGTATACATGTGCCATGCTGGTGTGCTGCACCCATTAACTCGTCATTTAGCATTAGGTATATCTCCTAATGCTATCCCTCCCCCCTCCCCCCACCCCACAACAGTCCCCAGAGTGTGATGTTCCCCTTCCTGTGTCCATGTGTTCTCATTGTTCAATTCCCATCTATGAGTGAGAACATGCAGTGTTTGGTTTTTTGTCCTTGCGATAGTTTACTGAGACTGATGATTTCCAACTTCATCCATGTCCCTACAAAGGACATGAACTCATCATTTACTATAAAATTATGAACGAACCACGTCAATATCATTCATTTATTTTTTGATAGAAAGAAGAGTTCTTATTCAAGTCCACCAACTGAATGCCATCTAGGGACCCAGAACCCACACAGCTAAGAGATTCCTACTATTTATGAACATGACACTGAAGTTTTTTTTTTTTTTAAGATGCTCTATGTAGCCAAGAAAAGTATTCCAAACACATTGTAGTTATCAAGAATCATCAACCTTAAAATGGCACTATCACGGATAAGGGATTCCCTGATATGGCCAATACAGGCAGTAGGGCTTACTATTTATCTTTAATGAAGAATTATATTAAACCTATTCAATGTCATAGAAATACTAGTTAATTAATTCAACAGCATGTTTGAATTTACATTAGAAAAGCAAAACCACTTGTTTTTGAATATCTGCACCATCATCCACATGCAAGCTTTTTTTGAGTTAATTTTTGTATAAGGTGTAAAGAAGGGGTATATAAATGTCATTCACATTCTAATCATGAATTTTGAGCACTTTGCAATGAGCAACATTTTCAAAAACATTTATTTTTATAAACTTGAAAACTTTGGCAACCTCTTTCACTAGAGGACATTTGATAAGACTGATTCTAAGAAAATCTGAGTATAAATGATAGGTCACTATGATTTTTATTACTATACCCATTTCTACTATTGGCACCTTTCAATTAAGGCAACATCAAGATGTATCTGTTCGATATATAGACCAATGAAACAGAATAGAGGCCTCAGAAATAACACCACACATCTACAACTATCTGATCTTTGACAAACCTGACAAAAACAAGCAATGGGGAAAGGATTCCCTATTTAATAAATAATGTTGGGAAAACTGGCTAGCCATATGCAGAAAACTGAAAATGGACCCCTTCTTTACACCTTATACAAAAATTAACTCAGGATGGATTAAAGACTTAAACCTAAGACCTAAAACCATAAAAACTCTAGAAGAAAACCTAGGCAATACCATTCAGGTATTCTTTACACCTTATACAAAAATTAACTCAGGATGGATTAAAGACTTAAACCTAAGACCTAAAACCATAAAAACTCTAGAAGAAAACCTAGGCAATACCATTCAGGACATAGAGGCATGGGCAAAGACTTCATGACTAAAGCACCAAAAGCAATGGCAACAAAAGCCAATATTGACAAATGGGATCTAATTAAACTAAAGAGCTTCTGCAAAGCAAAAGAAACTATCATCAGAGTGAACAGGCAACCTACAGAATGGGAGAAAATTTTTGCCATATATCCATCTGACAAAGGGCTAATATCCAGAATCTACAAGGAACTTAAACAAATTTACAAAAAAAAAAAATCCCATCAAAAAGTGGGCAAAGGATACGAACAGACACTTTCCAAAGGAAGACATTTATGCAGCCAACAAACATATGAAAAAAAGCTCATCATCACTGGTCATTAGAGAAATGCAAATCAAAACCACAATGAGTGAGATACCATCTCACACCAGTTAGAATGGTGATCATTAAAAAGTCAGGAAACAACAGATGCTGGAGAGGATGTGGAGAAATAGGAATGCTTTTGGTGGGAGTGTAAATTAGTTCAACCATTGTGGAAGACAGTGTGGCGATTCCTCAAGGATCTAGAACCAGAAATACCATTTGACCCAGCTGGGTACATACCCAAAGGATTATCAATCATCCTACTATAAAGACACATGCACACGTATGTTTATTGCCGCACTGTTCACAATAGCAAAGACTTGGAACCAACCCAAATGCCCATCAATGGTAGAGTGGATAAAGAAAATGTGGCACATATACACCATGGAATACTATGCAGCCATAAAAAGGATGAGTTCATGTCCTTTGCAGGGACATGGATGAAGCCGGAAACCATCATTCTCAGCAAACTAACGCAGGAACAGAAAACCAAGCACCGCATGTTTTCACTTATAAGTAGGAGTTGAACAATGAGAACACATGGACACAGGGAGGGGAACGACACACACCGGGGCCTATTGGGGGCTGAGGGCCTAGGGGAGGGATAGCATTAGGAGAAATACCTAATGTAGATGACAGGTTGATGGGTGCAGAAAACCACCATGGCACGTGTATAACTATGTAACAAACCTGCACATTCTGCACATGTATCCCAGAACTTAAAGAACAATAAAAACAAAAAGATTTTAAAAAAAGATATGTCTGTTCAAAAGGAGTAGCTTTGACATGCTAAGGGACTCACTTGGATGGTACACGCCAAGTGAAAAATCAGGTTGAAGATATGATTACAGGAACATTCTAAAGTTGTTTGATATGTGAGTACAAGCAACTAACTCTACTTCTCCTGGGAAGTGGGTGGGAAACCGTATTGAGATAGATACTGATGATCAGAAAATAAAGACCAAGATAACTTACTACATGCTATCAGTATTACATCATCTGGCAGGCACATCTGAGGAGACATTTTAGGGCTGAAGGGCTCCTCCCTAGTTTTTCTGAAATGAGGGTCACATGACTTTCCTGGGCCCTAGCTGCTTTTGCCTTCATGGCCAAAATACAACAGAATTACAAATTGTATTTTATCACTGTGTTGACATAAAGATGACTATATTACTATTTTATGTTAAAACATTTTCTTTGACGCAAAAGGGTATTTTTTTTCCTTCTAACTTAAAAGATATTAAAACATGATCGTGGGCCCCTAAAAGCACTGTGGTCCATGGGCACTGCCCCTACTGTGCCTAATGGAGAAGGCGGCCCTGGCTAAAATCACACCACTTACTCTTCCATAATATCCACTCTTGAAAATCCAGTTCCATTAGGGTCTTGGCAGTTTTAGGATGAGAACTATTATAAAGTCAAAGATTCTAAATGACTAGCTAGTGAATACGAGCATCCACTAATTTAAAAAGAATATCTGCACCATCATCCACATGCAGGCAGTCCATTTTCCGTTGACTGAAACAGAAATGTTAGAGTTGAGAATTTTAGATTGAAAAGAAGTACAACGTAAAAGCAGCTGTTTCTAAGGAAGTTTCTGATGTTACCTTTGAATTCAATAAGTTGGCAGAAAACAGTGTCTTCTTTAGAATATAGTTAACATCTGTTGGTTGACCTGGTGCCACGTTCTGTACTCTAAGCCACCGAAAGGCAAGCAAACACTTGAGAGTTGTTTGACAAAAATAAACATCCCTGTCCTAAATAAGAGGAAGCCATTTTAGAGTATTCATCTAGTCATTCAGTAAATATTGATTAGTGCCTAGTGTATTAGTTGCTAGAGTTATGAGGCAATTCTGGAAGTGTGAAAATGCCTGGTAAGTTTAGAAGCCTGCAAGCAATTCTTTAGGCTGGAACTCTGCATGTGCTGTGGGGTGGAAGATGGTGGTGATTCTAGAAAAGCAATCGTCAGATGTTGAGGGGGATTGTTTGCCTTGTTAATGAGGTTGATTTTATCCGAAAGTTGATGAGGAGCCAATGAACAATTTTAACTGGAAGAGTGGTGTGATTAGACTTATAATTGAAAAAGGTGTCTACAGTGGTAGTATGCACTGGTTTGCAACCTTGCTTTCAGGATAGAATCACACATGGAGACTTTAAACATGTGCCAATGTCCAGACTCTGCCCTGCAGACTGCTGCTCAATTAGCCTGAGGTAGGGCCCTCAGCACAAGGGTTTGTAAAAATTGCCCAGGAGTTACCCATGTGCAGCCAAGATTAGCAAATCACTGCTGTAGAAGACAGACTGGAATAGAATAAGACTGCACTCTGCTACAGTGCAAGATAATAAGGAACTAAACTAAGAGAACCAGAGAAAACTGCACACAGGAAGAAGAAATTTGGTTGGTTGGATTTATCATGAGTTATTACAAAACGATGAGGGTAATAAAATTGGTGTCTCCAGGATCTAGCCACATGGCTCCACCATGTGGATAAACTGTGATGTGCCAAGTTGGCTCATTGCTTTTTTTCCTTCTGATCCTGGTTGCTGTTGTCATGACAATATTAGTTTAGAAATAAATTTTAAAAAACAAAAGTAATGTGCTGATTAGCAGAAAAATATGTATTCAAACCTGAAAATGTTTAGAATTCCAATACTTTATTCAAACCTGATATAGTACTTACATGTGAAATTCCTTTATAATGTTTCCTTGGGTACAACATTTATTTTTAAAAATGTACTTATTTGTATTTATTAAGTCCCAAATGTATTAAATAGTGAAATTATCATATTTATTTTGAGGTAAAGGATATAAAGAATATTGCTTTAAGAACTCAAAAGTTGGCCAGGCGCGGTGGCTCATGCCTGTAATCCCAGCACTTTTGGGAGGCCAAGGCAGATGGATTGATCACCTGAGGTCAGGAGTTTAAGACCAGCCTGGCCAACATGGTGAAACCCCATCTCTAATAAAAAAAAGACAAAAATTAGCCAGGCGTGGTTGTGGGTGCCTGTAATCCCAGCTACTCAGGAGCCTGAGGCAGGAGAATTGCTTGAACCAGAGAGGTTGCAGTGAGCCCAGATTGCGCCACTGCCCTCCAGCCTGGGCAACAGAGTGAGACTCCATCTCAAAAAAAGAAAAAAAAGGAACTCAAAAGTTCATAAAATGCCAAACATTTATAACTGCTTTTTATATCTATCTATAAGATTCCTTGAAAGCAGCTTCATATTCATACTACTTTTATTATTGGAATATACTAAAATAGTTCAGGTAGAAATTTTAAGTTGATTAGAAGAGCAAAGTAAATTGGCTAATTTTTATGACAGCAGAAGTTTCTCATCTTATTTAATAACTCACATAATTCTCTTCAAAAGCTGGAATGTGTGATTCTTAATGGCAAAATAAAACATTTTCATAGTCTGTAAACTTTCATACATGATTGGCTATTGCAATTTATCAATACCTCTTCAAGCAAATTCTGAAAATGAAATTATTAAACTAGTGAAATTAACATTGCATTTCTAATTATCCAGCCTCCAGGCAATTTGCACAATAAGCAGTTTTTCAGTTCGTAATTAAGGTGTACTTTTCATCTCAAGGCTTGAGACAAGTTTAAATTTCAATTCTATAGCCTGATTTAATGTATTAATCCAAAGATTTGTATTTTACTTCAATACTGTCTTTCATTCAGGAAGAAGAATAATTCTTATCACTGAAATTTATCAATAATATTAAAGAGAAAAATGAATCACTTCTAAAAATGTATCAATGACTAAGAATATCACTTCATGTACTGTGATGATGTACTGTTGATTTAACTATATCCTCTCTAGGTGTGGAACAGTAATTAATTTAATAACTATCTTGAGAATACCTTCTATATGTAAGGTACTATGCAAGCATAATAGGTAATAGATGTCTCAAAACAGAATATCTAAACTTTAAATCTTTTGAAGGAGTTAAGATAGTCACACATTAAAAAGTCAGGCCAGGCACGGTGGCTCAAGCCTGTAATCCCAGCACTGCGGGAGGCCGAGGCAGGTGGATCACCTGAGGTCAGGAGTTCGAGACCAGCCTGGCCAACATGGTGAAACGCTGTCTCTAATAAAAATACAAAAATTAGCCAGGTGTGGTGGCAGGCACCTGAAATCCTAGCGACTTGGGAGGCTGAGTCAGGAGAATCACTTGAACCCTGGAAGTGGAGGTTGCAGTGAGCCAAGATTGCACCATCGCACTCCAGCCTGGGGGACAAGAGTGAGATTTTGTCTCAAAAAAAAAAAAAAAGTGCAACAACTAGGGAACACAGAATACATTTAAAGCCTAAAAATGTGAAACAAAGTAAGTACAATGAGGAAGAAGAGTTCACAATAAGATGAAATAGTTTGGAGAATAAACAGAAGTAACAGGATTTAAGTTCGATGAACCTAAAGAGAACCTGCATAGGCAGAAGTTTAAGGCATTATAGTTAGGGACTATGAGAAGAGCAAAAATTGACAAATAGGATGTACAGTTTTCAGTCTAGCAGCACTGACCTCACCCAGGAGCATGATAGTGATGGAGAATTTTGGCTATGACCTACTGAATCTGAATCAACAGTTTAACAAGATCCCCAGTTGATATGTACATATATTAAAATGTTAAAAGCACTCTCTTAGAACATTGGTGAGCAAAATTTTTTGTTATAAAGGGTCAGATAGTAAATATTTTGGGTTTTGCAGGCCAAATGGTCTCTGTTTCAGCTCCTCAGCTCTGCTGTTGTAGCTTGAAAACAGCCAAAGATGACAATATGGAAATGAACAAGTGTGGCTTTGTTTCAATAAAACTCACTAAAGTGATGGTTAATTTCATATGTTCACTTGACTGCAACACATGGTGCAAGGTATTTGGTTGGAAATTGTTCTGGGTGTGTCAGTAAGGATATTTATAGATGAGATTAACATTTGAATCAGTAGACTAAGTGAAGCCGATTGCCCTCCACAATGTGAGTGGGCCTCCATCAATCCATTGGAGGCCTGAATACCACAAAAGATGAAGTAAGGGAGAATTCACTGTCTGTCAGACTGTTTTCTTCTCCTGCACTTCAGCTGAAACCTCTACCATTGGTTCTCCTGGTCCTTAGCCTTGCACTGGAACTATAACACTAACTCTCCTGGGTCTCCACCTTGTAGAATGCAGATCCAAATCATGAGACTTCTCAGCCTTCATAATTATGTGAGCCAATTCCTTATAGTAAATATATACGTAGGGGCACTGATAGTCTATGGCATGAACTGGTAGCAAAGATACACAAAATACCTGCACTGAACACTCCTAATCAACCATTTACAAGAAGCAACAAGTTGGGTGGCTGTGTATATGGTAATTCCAAGCTTTTTTGGAAAACTAATCAATACAATAAGATTGACTGGTTGTTCCACTGTTGCTGGACAAAGTGGTGAAGGAAAAGAATGAGCTCGGGGATTCAAATTCACAGCTTGAGCACCACATAAATGACCTGAGTTTCTATCTGTGTCCTAAAGGAGACCCTTATCTCCTATAGCCAAAGGGCTAGGTTGAAAATTGAATGCAGAATACCATCCCGAGACTAAATTACAATTTAATTTCTTATAAATTCCCAGCCTTGTCGAATGTCTGCTGTTAAAGTGTGGGCACTGATTGGGAAAGAATAAGATTTAGGATGAGGATGTGTGGGAAGACCTTGACAAAGCTGAGGATATTTTGTCTCTAAATTCTGATGTCTCTTTACCAGTGGAAGAGGCCTCTCCACTCCCAGAAGGCATGCCTCCCCATCCCCTGTGGAAACAGCCTCCCCATGCCCCAGTGTTAGTGGCCTCCCCACTACCAGTGGCATCAGCCTTTTTAATCCAGTCTGAGATTAACCCTGCATTGCCTGAGGAAAGTTTAATGGCCTCCCATGAGACAGTTGCCATGCAAGACAATGCTGACTGTCCTAAGACCCACCTCTCTTTGTTTCTAGACCTATAGCTAGACTCAAGTCCCAGCAGGCCCTTAAAAGTGAGGTAAAAAGTGTGACTCATGAGAGGGTTCACTACATGTCAACAGAACTGCTTGAGCTTTCTAATTTGTACAGACAGAAGTCCAGGAAACATGTGTGGGAATGAACATTAAGAGTGTGAAATAAAGGAAGATAAAGTTAGATCAGGCTGAATTTATTGATATGGGCTCACTAAGCATAGCCTGCATTTAGTGTTACGGCTCAGAGAGTTGGAAAGGGCACCATGAATTTGTTCAGTTGGTTGGCTGAAACACGTTCTAAAAAGTAGCCCACAGTAAGTGAACTGAAAATGTCAGACTTGCCTTGGTATAATGCAGAGGAAGAAATTCAAACGCTTAGGGAGATTGTGAAATGTTAGAGTGGATTTGTCATGCAAGACCTATCCACCCACACTGGAAGGATCCATAAAACAAACTTTCACCAGTATTGAGAGAAATAAATGTGTGAGGGGGGCCCTGGCATCCTTGAAGAGTTCTTTGATGCCTCTTCTCTGTAAGCAAGACCATCTTAAGTATGGATTTGCATGCAATGCTTCTACCAAAACTGTGATCCTGGACTTACAGAATGCCTTATCCATGGGCACAGGATTCCACAGATTCCACACAGCATTGCTTCTGATTAAGGGACTCACTTCACAGCAAAAGAAGTATGGTAATGGGTCCATGCTCATGGAATGTATAGGCCTTATCATGTTGCCCACTATCCTGAAACAATTTGATAGAACAGTAGAATGGCCTTTGGAGAACCTAGTTACAGCACGAGCTAGATGGTAATATTTTGCAGTGCTGAGACAAGCTTCTCCAGAAGGCTGCACATTCTCTGAATCAACATCTAATATATAGATAGAGCTGTTTCTTCCATAGCAAGGACTCATGGGTCCAGGAATAAGGGGCAGAAACGGGAATGAATTTATTCACTATTACTCCTTGTGACCCCCTAATAAAATGTTTGCTTCCTGTTCCCATTACCTTATGCTCTACTGGCCTAAAAGTCTTAGTTCCTGAGGGAGAAATGCTTCCACTAGGAGATACAACAATGAAAACTGTGCTCACTTCAGCAGCACATATACTGAAATTGGAACGATACAGAGAAGATTAGCATGGCCCCTGTGCAAGGATGACATGCAAATTCATGAAGTGTTCCATTGAAAAATAAATTAATAAAAACTGCTGCCCAGCCACTTTGAATTCCTCATGCCTCTGAATCAACAGGCAAAGAAGAGAGTTGTGGTGACTGATCAGAACTAGCAAGGGGAAATTGGACTGCTACTGCACAATGGAAGTAAGGTTGAGTATGTCTGAAATGCAGTAGAACCTGTAGGATGCTCCTCTGTACTACATGTCCAGTAATTAAAGTCAATGTAAAATTACAACAACCCAATCCAGGCAAAACTCTTAATGCCCCAGATCCTTCAGGAATGAAGGCTTGGGTCACTTGACCAGGTAGAGAACCAGCTCAGGGTCTTGCTAAAGGCAAACAAATAAAAAAAAAAAAACAGGATAGTTAGTGAAAGAAGGTAGTTATAAATATCAACTACAACCATGTAATCAGTTACATAAATGAGGACTGTTAGGAGTATTTCCCCCTTATTTTGTTAAGAAATGTTTGTGTGTGTATAGTAAATACCTTTTTCTCCCTCTCTTATTCCTTTATTATGTATTATATAATGTATTGATTTATTAACATAATATTTAAGTATTGTTCAATTTACATCATAGTATTTTTTAAGTTACAGGATGTCAAGGAGAAGAGTAAACATCAAGAACTTTACCTCCTTTTCTGGGGATTGGGTAATGCATATTCAGTTGTATGTGGGATAGTTGTATTATGTAAAGTGGAGTTATGACCTTGTTATTGTGTTTATTTGGAGATTAAATATGATTTAAAGAGATGTGAATGAATGCCAAGCTGAGAAGGGATGTATTTTGTTGACTAGGACAATGGGGTGCCCAGACATTTGGCTGAACATTGTTTTGGGTGTGTCTGTGAAGGGTTTATAGATGAAATTAACATTTGAATCAGTAGGGCGAGTGAAGCAGTTTGATCTCCCCAATGTTGGTGGGCCTTATCCAATGTATTGGAAGTCTAAATGAAGCAAAAGATAGTATAAGGAAGAATTTTCTCTTGGTACCTGACTTTTTTTGTGATGGTGCATTGATCTTCTCCTGTACTTGGACTGGAACTTACACAGTCAGCTCTCCTGGGTCTCCAGCTTGCAGTCAGCAGATCATGGAACTTCTCAGCCTCCATAATTGTGTGAGCAAGTTCCAATATCCAAAATATTATGTATTATATATACATATGTATATGTACATGCACACACACACACAGACACACAAATCGTATTGGCCTATTGGTTCTGTTTCTCTGGAGAACTCTAATAAAATTATAGACATCAAAATTTGAATTTTATATAATTTTCATGAGGCATGAAATATTACTTTTGATTTTTTTCAACCACTTAAAAACGTAAAGGCCATGCTTGGCTTGTGGACCGTACAAAAATAGGCATTGACTGAATTTGGTCTGTGAGCCCAATTCACATTTTACTGACGCCTGTCAATAGAGAAACCAAAAAAAAAAAAAGTATCCTTTCAATTTTCTTTATCATCTGAATTCTAGACTTTAAAACAACAGAAGAATAACTAAAGTGGTTGATAATTTTTATTACTCTACAACAAAAGTATATTTCAATCCAACTGTGAGAGAATACATTTTTTCTTCACCTTTTATTTATCCAGTGAGAATATTATTAGTCATTTTTTTTCAAATGGATATTAAATTTCACCATGGTCATGTTGTCTGGATAAGGCCAACAAATGACTAAGCATCCTCCATTTTTTTCTCTTAGGTAACAAAGAATAAAAGTATGGTTTTGTTCAACCTAATAGAAAAGGTGAAGATTCTTAACAATAAGGACACCATCATTCTCCCCATTACCCAGGCTATAAAAATAAACTGGAGTAGTGGTTCTCAAACTGTGGTGGTCCACGTTCCAAGTATTATGTGGAAATTAGTTAGAAACGCAAATGCTTGGGCCCGCCCAGGACTGGCTGAATGAGAAATTCAGCAATCTGTGTTTCAACAAGCTTTCCATATGAGTACGATGAACCCTAAAGCTTAAAAATCACCAAACTCAAGGTAATACTTAAGGATCCAGATTCTTGGGGCTTCATTCCAGACCTACTGAATTGGAATCACTGATTTGTATTTTAACATGATCCAGATGATTGATATGTTGATTCATATTTGAAAGTCACTTCTTTTTAGAGTTGCCATTCCTCTTTCATCCCACCACCTTATCCATCCTATTTGCCAAGTCCTGTACATTTTACATTTGCAAAAACTTTCAAACATGATTTTTATAAGCCAAAATTCCTAGGCCCTACTTCATAATTTCACACAAAAATATATTATATGGATTGGTTACATCTCATAGAGCATATGTGGTGTGATATACATGATATACTACCTATCTCTCTATCTGGAGACATAGTGAGGAATTCCTCTTTATAATCCTGAATCTCATGTAGCTAGTTCAACAACACAGGCATTTGGGTATCACTTATAGACTTAATCCCCTGTTCTATTTCAATTATTTTAATGATGGCTTTATAAAGTCCTCACTATCAAAAGAGTCACAAATAATTTCCAGATTAAAGTAATGCAACTCTGATCATTTCATTCGCCAATTGAAAAATTTTGACATTCAAAGCCCTCTTATTCTCCAATCAATCAAGCTATTCTACTTCCTAGTCTTTAGACACACCCTGCACATTGTGCCCTTTTGCCTTTACTCAAGCAAATCCTATCCACCAACAGTGCCCTCTCCATCAGCATCAATACAAATTCACAAAAATGTTGTATCTTCCAATTAGCCTATGCCATGTGTCAATGAAGTAATAATTAACAATTTAAAACATTTTATGGAAGCCAGCCAGTCTGCTATATCTTCACATGTATTAACTAATTTAATCCTCACAACCACCTTATGAGGTAGCTACAACTATTTTCTTCACTATGCAAGAGATGAAACTTAGGGCAAGATAGGTTGAAGTGACTTTCTCAAAAATGCTTTATTAATGACACTTTATTAATGAAGAATGGTGAGACAGACCTTTTCAAAGTCAGCTATGGAGACAGGTTTCGGGACCACTGCAGTAAGGTCTTGCAGTGGGGGAGTGAGATTGGACTCAATTCTAACTCCAATAAGGACAAGTGGGAATTTATAACCAAGAAGCAGGTTGGGGAGCAATGGATGGAAAATTACTAAGAGGAAACACCAAGGATAAAGGATTTCTGGCTAAACTGACCTGATAGGATTATTGCTGAAGGCAGGTCAGGGTGATAAGATATTGAGGGTGGTCTGATACCAAGGGTGGGGGATATTCATTAATGTGACGTGTCAGGATTCTTGTTCCAACTGGATTCTACAGATGGTCTCCAACTTACAATGATTTGATTTTATGATGGTGCGAAAGCCGTATGTATTCAATGGAAACACTTCCAGTTTTGAATTTTGATCTTTTCCCGGGCGAGTGATTTACAATACAAACCCGCTCCTGATGCTGGGCAGTGGCAGTGAGCCGCAGCTCTCAGTCAACCATGCGGTCACAAGGACCATGTTTAAGGTAGGCTAGGCCAAGCCATGATGTTCAATAGGTTAGCTATATTAAGTGCACTTTCCACTTGGAATATTTTCAACTTATGATGGGTTTTTTGTTTTTTTTTTTTGCATCGTAACTTCATCCTAAGTCGAGAAGCATCTGTACTAGAATAGAGAGGAAAGCCCAAGATCAGGCTTAGTCAAGCAGAGGACTCAGAGAAAAGCCTGATTAAAGTTTTGGTCAAAGGAGAGAGTGTGTGTCAGCCCTATCCAAGGTTACTGTCATTGAGAGGGGATTGTATTCGTACATGCCATAATTCTACTATAGTCCAAGGATCCTGGGACAAGAACTATGAGATAGTCATTTTTGTGACCCCATCACCGTATCACTACCACCTAACAATTAGTACTAGGCCTTGTGTATAGTGATTTACTAATTTTTGCTGAATTGAAGATGGCTTTATAGGATTTTCTCTTTAGTATGTTGTCATGTCTTCTTTATGCCTTAATTTGAAATAGTCTTAAAGCAAAATAAAAAACATTTCAATTTTGAGGGGGTCACATATAGATCAACGATATTTTTTAAATGCTATTTCTTCTTCTTATTTCTTTTCCTTTAGTAGTATTCTATTTTCTAGAAACCAGGTACTTGCTTCAGGCGACTCCTTTTCTTCTCTTAGTTGTAACTTGACATCTGAGAATAAAACTAAGAAAGGATTTTGCAGCCAATGCTGCAAATACAAATTTGTTAATTGTGTATTAACCAAATACAATTGCAAAGGGTTATTAAATACTCATTGTAAAGCTGTATTTTAAATGTCACGAATCCATGTCAGTAGCTGAAGGCATACAGTTTTATGTTAGATTTTAAAGTAAGAAAGATATTGTGTGTTTTTGTGAGCATAGATGTGGTTTGGTCTCTTCTATCCCTTTTGTGTGTGTGTGTGTGTGTGTGAGTGGCCCTGCAATCAGAAATGGTGTGAACGTGAGTATGCTGATGTGTTTGGGAAATGAGGACTACAAATTAATCTGGCCACTTTATAAGATGTTTTATATTAGACTGCAAAATTATTTCAGTTGCAAACATATTTACTGGTCACTCCCACAACCTTTTAATTCCCCTTTTCTTCCTTTTCTCCTAAGATCAGGCAATATGACCTTTTTACTTTTATTTTTCCCTAAACATTAAGATCACTAGGTAGACCGCAAAGAAGGAAGACTGTCCTGAAGCAAGAGAAAGGAAATCCTAATACTCTTATGGGAAATTTTGGAATAGCACGTGGATAAGTACAGGACATTTCTGTGGTGGCCAAACAGATGACACCTGCTTGGCATCACCTAATCTCTGATTGGTAACCCTTAGTTTACAGGTAATGCCTGCAAGTCAAAATATTTGGAATTTGTCTACAAGTACATACCATAGCACAATTTAACAACTGCAGCACAATAAAAGAGATTGTATTTACTTTTAAAAGTCATTGAAATATTTCTTAACATTTCACTTCTGAGTAGTGTCTAATGAAATAGTGATATCTTTGTCAACAAGCTGTGAATTTCCCTATGTCTTCTAGGAAGAATAGGTTCTGTCTGGTTAGTTGGTTTGTTCTTGTTTGAAATATCTTCATTTAGTAGCAGGGACATTGTGATTTAAAACTAATGGAGTTGGGAGGCCCAGGCAGGCGGATCACTTGAGGCCACAAGTTCTAGACCAGCCTGGCCAACATGGTGAAACCCCATCTCTACTAAAAATACAAAAATTAGCTGGGCATGGTGGCATGAGCCTGTAGTCCCAGCTACTCAGGAGGCTGAGGCTGGAGAATGGCTTTAACCCAGGAGGCGGAGGTTGCAGTGAGCGAAGATTGTGCCACTGCACTCCAGTCTGGGTGACAGAGCAAGACTTTGTCTCAAAAAAGAAGAAGAAGAAGAAGAAAAAAACCTAATGGAGGTGTGGGTGGAGGGTAGAAGGGAACTGGCCATGTATTGATAATTTTTGAAATATGTTTCTCTGTATTCTTTATATTTGAAATTCTCCATAAATAAATAAGTAAAAATAATAGAAGTGAAGAGAAACACTTGCTACTTTTTAGTTGAAACTAGAAATGGAAATAGGTAAAGGCACAAGTTCTGCATTCCAGTGTGCCTCCTGTGGTAGCAATAGCAAAGAAACACTGTCGCACAACAGGCTGAGTAGGAGACTGTCACAGCATCCAGTCTGCTTACCTTAGTAAGAAAAACCATACATGAGCCTTAATGTTAGGGCATCAGCAACAATTGTATTCCTCAGACAGTTAATTTAGACAGAGCCCAATTCCTACTACATCTGAAAAATAAGATCAATGTCAATTTTCATGGACTAAAATTTGTTCAAGGTTTAAAAAAAATTACACCAGCAATGCCAGGTTTTTCATATATTTTTCCTAAATGACATTCAGAAATTTTACTCATATCTCTGTGGAAATCACAGTCTGCCAACTCTTTTAAATGCCTATTTTTATTATCCTTTACATAAAACTAAGGAGTTGTCAAATATCTTTCAGAAAAACAAAATGAAAAGAATTTATATGATATATATAACAGTCATGAGGCTAAGACTTTATATAGACATTTAATTATCTAGATCACTTATTTTCCTATCTTTTGTACCATTATGTTTTTCTCTTTTAAATTATTCTTTCCCCAACATGCAACATTTTAGGTTGTTCACAATTCATTGTAATCAATTTGCCATGCCCTTTGATCTTCTCTTTTTCTCTCTTTTCTTAGCCAATTTATGAGACCAGGTTAGCCACATATGTTGAGTGTGTGGCTCTCCAAAATTATATACCACAAATGGCATAAGTTTGAGGAATTCAGATAACTGTGGCAAACTCTAACCTCAGCTGTACCCAACAAAAATGAAAAAGAAAAGGCTTTCCCTTTCTTAAGCCCCTAAAAACATTTTAATAGAAAGCAGAGTTAAAGTCATCCTGCCACTTCTTCTTTTTACCTGTGTGGGCTTTTCAAGACCTAAATTCTCTAGGTCTCATCATCTTTCTCTTTCTTTTTATTTATTTATTTATTTTTTAGAAAAGCTATTTGCCATAGGGAAATCCATTTTTCGGATTGGATATATAATAAATACATGAGAGAATAAGGTATGCCTAAATGGGACAAACCAGAATCCATGTAAATTTTGAACCTCACCTGCAATTTTGAAAGTCCTATTAATTTAAAAAATAGTAAATACCTTAATTTTCATGATAGCTTACTGTAAGGCTCCCTAGAGGCAATGAAAATGGGAATCTCAATAAAACGAATACTACCATACATCCTGGCTTCAGAGATGAAAACAGAGGGAGAGGATTGGCTAGTTATCAACAGAAGGGTAAGGAAAAAAAGCACAGAGAAAGAACAGACAAGGCAACAAAAGTGGCAGAACTGTAAGGGCCAATACGCATCCACTGCTTCAAGTTTTTCAGCCATGTTCCATTCTCCGAGATTTCTGGTAGTGCTTCAAGAATACTGGTCTCCAAACTCTTCCTGAAAAGGGCTAGGAATGCTTCTGCCTGAAGATCTTACCTATTCTTTCTGGGCCCCGTGATCTCCCTACATGATTGATCAACCTACTATTTCAACTCTTTCAAGCCTTTTCACAAATGTCAACTTCAGTGAGGCCTCTATTTAAAAATGAGCACCCTACGAAATCCTTTCCTCATTTCTGATTATCCCCTGTGAATTTACATCTGCCTACTCCGTACCCTCAGTTTATGCCCCTTGAACACTCTTGCCGGGCGCTTCTCCTTTAAATCTTGCCTGGAAGGGGCGGAGCTATGTCCCAGACTCACCGAGAGGAGCGTTCTCTAGGCTCCGCCCACTTACGTCTCAGTGGGCGCCCTAACGAACCCGGGATACGGTCTGTTCCTAGTCCGCTCCGGAAATGCAACTGCGTACGGGCTGGCCGCGTAATCGTGACGACAGCGCGCCAGCGCCGGCTAGCCGGACGCCCTAGGCTTCCGCGAGATCTTCGGTGGGGGTACGGGTGTTTTACGCCAGGACGCTGATGCGTTTGGGTTCTCGTCTGCAGACCCTCTGGACCTGGTCACGATTCCATAATGTACCACAACAGTAGTCAGAAGCGGCACTGGACCTTCTCCAGCGAGGAGCAGCTGGCAAGACTGCGGGCTGACGCCAACCGCAAATTCAGATGCAAAGCCGTGGCCAACGGGAAGGTGAGGTTTTCCCAACGGTTGCCCAGTTGCCCGGTCACTAAATTCTGAGCAGCTGCGGGAGCTCTTCTGGCTCCCAGGACAATCTCGCTCCGTCGTTTCTCTGCCTCTGCGGCGCGGAGTGCGTTTTTCTATCAAAATAAGCGAGCACCTTGCCAGGTTCCGTGGGTACAAAGACGAACAACGCCATCCCCGTCGTCGAATGGCAGACAAGTAACCAGTCTTTGTAACGTAGTGAAGAAGAGAGTAAGTAGTGTGCTAAGGTAGTGCGTGGCAAGAGCCGTTCACTTGTCAAGAGATGATGTTGGGGAAGGTTTTTCCCAGTAGCCAATGCGGAGAAAATGGGAAAGGAAGTTCCAGGCAGTCAGAACCACCGTTCAGAGTGGGAGGGAGGTCAGAAGTTACAGAGATGGTGCGTGGACGTGTTTGTGGTCGTATGTGGCCGAAGTTGAGTACCTGTGCAGGAATGGCTGGGGAGGGTAGGAAGGGAACTTGTAAGTGGAAGTGAGGCGTTTAACATTTCCACTGAAAGGATGAGGAACCTTTGAAATATTTAAAATGGGAAGCTAACCTTATCAGATTTCCGTTCTGGAAACAGCGCTCTAGCAACCTCGTGGTGAATGGGTTGGATGAGGGAGGGAGACCAGAGACCAAGTACAAACCAAGTGACTGAAGATGGTTTGGACTATGGCCCGCTAGCCAAGTTCCTTCTGTTACAGCTCTCGGACTGGTTTAATCTTTCCTGCAAGCTCCACTCCAGCAAGTGTTCAGTGCCTCCAAATTACCGATACTGAGTTACTTTACTTTCTACCTTTAATTCACATCTATTTCATATCACTGATTTTAGCACCTGAATTAGTTTCCTAAGGGCTGCCTTAAAAAAATCACCACAAACTGGGTAGCTTAAAATAACAGAAATTTATTGAAACATTTGCTGTTTTTTTACAACTTGTGACGTAATGACTGACCGAGAAACGGATGTTGGAAGCTTTCCAATCATATTTTAAAAAGTCTGTCTACTTTTTAATTTATAAATAATGATATCACAACTGTGAGCATGTGCACACAGCCTGTCATGATTGTTTATACTTTAATGAAGCAAAGGTCTAGCTGACATTCCGAAAAGTCGTGAAATGATGGTACAGTTTTAGTTTATTAAATATTTTCCTACAGCTATTTTGTGTAATGATTAGCGAATCTATAAAGAAAATGAGGCGTGATATATACCCTTCGTTGGATATATAAACTAAATTTAATCTAGATAGAGAAAAATGTTTTACAATTGTTTAATTCATTGAATTCATTGAACTTGTGTTGTAATTGTTGATCTAAAGGTTCTTCCGAATGATCCAGTCTTTCTTGAGCCTCATGAAGAAATGACACTCTGCAAATACTATGAGAAAAGGTTATTGGAATTCTGTTCGGTGTTTAAGCCAGCAATGCCAAGATCTGTTGTGGTAAGTTACAGTGGTGATGAAATATAATGTCCTTTAGTTGGCTTGTGAAATTTGACCTCTTCTAAATTCCCTGTCCACTCAAGTCTTAAAAATTCACCTTAGTTACAATTAATTAGTTTTTGGCACATTATATATTTTTCAATACAGGCCTTAAATCATGAGTTGCTGTATCATATCTTCAAAAGTATTTCAAGTCTCACTTTGTGGTCAGAAAAAAATTTGAGGTCAGGTAATGTCATAAAGAAAGAAAAAAAATAAATTACTTTCCTCTAAGTTCTCAACTAATGAGCCATAGGACTGGGACTAGAACATAGACTACTGCTTTTCCAACTCTGTGACACCCAATAAATGTTTGAAATAATGCATTCATTCATCATTGGTAATCATATGCCCCAGCTGAAACTGATACCATAAGATTTTTTTAAGCCTTGATTAGTAGAAGCTGGAGTTTTATCTTTGGTGAAAAAGATTGCCTTATTGTTTCAGATGTATGGTTCTGAGGACCTATTTGTTTTTTGCTGGGGTGGGCAACCGTGAGGAGAAACAGGTAGCTGAGATTAAAAAGCAGAAAGATAAAAAAGGTAGAGTGGGAGGGTGTTCAAAATGTTGTTACGTTATTCTCTCACTGGTTTGTTGTGAAGACCAAATATAAAAGTATATCTTAAGTAAAAGTCTGTTAAGTTTTAAAGTTATACAGCGTGACTAGCTTACGACCCAGTAGAGAATAATTTTCTAGGAAATTATCTCCATTTTTATAGTTGAAAAAAAAATTGAAGTATGTTGAAAATATTAAGTCCATAGAATTTACAATTTTTTTTCATCTGAGATGTCAAAGATTCAGAGAGAGTTTTAGGTATACTTGATTAGTTTATATCTTCAGATTTGGCTTGTTCTTACAAAAGAACTGTAAAATGAGGCAGTAAATTTAAGTGATCTTATCAAATGAAGAAAAAATCCTTTAATGAACTTCTTTATGGAATTTATTTTTAAATAACATGTTTATCATTGGTGAATAATTTTTTGTTTTACATAATGACAAAACTAAACTTTTAAAATACTTAAAAGGAAATATTCTTTTTTCTATCATAAAATAGATAAGTGGTTATTTCATTGGTTCCAGCCAAATGATATAATGGTTAAAAGTACAGGCAGGTCTTACTTGAATTCATTCCTGTTCCTTATTAGCTGTGTGACCTAGATAAGTCAGTTAACCTCATTGATACTCAGTTTCCTTCTCTGTAGAGATAGTAATACTTCACCAAGCTGTTGTAAGGATTAAAACATGATGATAGTTTCGTGTTTAGCACAGAGTCTGGCACATGGTATACATTCAATAAATGGTAGTGCTGCTTCTGCCATTCAGTTGGCAGCAGTGATCACAAATCATGGAATGGATACATGGTTATATCACAAATATGGAGTGGCTTTAGAGAGAAGGCTTATTGCCTTGCCCATGTTTTTTTGTCAGTATTTTTATAAGATTGGTTAATCTGTGAACGTTTGTATTTTTCTTCCTGAATTTATCTAATTCAGAACATTTTTGATAGTCTGATTTCTAATACACACACACACACACACACACACACACACACACGTATTTTTAAATCCAGTGACCATAGGAAGGATTAGCCAGAGTAGGCTGGGGATAGACAAGCAAAGGATGGGAAAGAATCTTTTGGCTATGGCATTTCTGTAGTAATTCATCACAATTTGTTTTGATTAAAGAAGAATTAATGAGTATTAGTATTTTTCTGGGTAATCTCTACAAAGAAACCTTTCCATAAATAAGTTCTGTTTCACAAAATTTAACATTTAACATTTGTGACTAGATCCTGATGATATATTTTTTTTAACCCTTAGGGTACGGCTTGTATGTATTTCAAACGTTTTTATCTTAATAACTCAGTAATGGAATATCACCCCAGGATAATAATGTGAGTATGTCTGTCTAATATATTGTTTTCATTTAAGAAGACCTTTATAATCTTTTGAGTATTTTTTGGGAGGAGAGAATTGTGAGAGAGAGAGAGAGAGAACTGACTTCCTAATACAGGGTAATTTAGACTTGAATTCTATTTTTTTTTTTTTATTCAGAACTTGAGATCTCTGTTTACCTGTACTTCAGTAATTCTGATGGTATGTGAACTTCAGCTTGTCCAGATTCAAATTTTGTTTTTCTCAAATTAGCTACTTCTCTAACATCTCTTCCTATTAGACACCTTTGTTCTTCCAGTTGTTCAGACTGAGAATCATTTATAGTGGCCCCTCCCACATCCAGTCAGTTTACGGATCCTATAGCTTCATACTCATTTCAGTTGAACAAAGGTCTGTTGTTGCTGCTCTCTGCTGAGCGCTGTGTCTATCATTAAAAATGAAATTAGTATGAAACTCATCAAAGAGTTTGCTCTCAATGACATTGTACCTGTTTTCTCTTTTTTGATTCCCATTTCCACCAGTCAAGATTAGGCCCTTGATCTCACTGCCAACTGTTTTTTACAGTAGCTTTCTTACTGTTTTCTCATACTGAACAGCATGAAGTGGCCAGGTGAATTTCACAAGTTTGTCCCTTAAATAATAGTCCCTTATTCAGATGCCCTTAGAGACTTCTGCCGATGGCCTTCCACAATGTTCCTTTAACCTACTTTTCTTCCCATACTTACATGGTACATATGTGGGTACTGCTTTATTTTTAACTCTTCCATCTACATTATACAAAGTACTCTTATTCCTCAGTTAATTTGTTTTTCCAGATATTTAGGTTGTACTGCATAACACTGTCATTGAGTCAGTGATGTTTGAATGCCATGGCAATATTGGTTTGACCTAATTTTATAGTTGTCTTACGTCTCCTAATGAAGTGTGAACAGGAAGTGTCTTTTAAAAAACAATTCTTGCAATGTCTAGCAGTCGCTTTTGAATATTAGGCAATTATAGAATATACTTTTAGAAATAAATTATTTAGATACTTCTCAAAGTATATGCATGTTCTTCCACCCCACCCACCCCCTGCCTCCTGCCTCCTTATTTTTTCCTCTAGGCTCACTTGTGCATTTTTGGCCTGCAAAGTAGATGAATTCAATGTATCTAGTCCTCAGTTTGTTGGAAACCTCCGGGAGAGTCCTCTTGGACAGGAGAAGGCACTTGAACAGATACTGGAATATGAACTACTTCTTATACAGCAACTTAATTTCCACCTTATTGTCCACAATCCTTACAGACCATTTGAGGGCTTCCTCATCGACTTAAAGGTAAACTTGATGTAAAATAAACTAATACTACATTCTCCTTTCCTATTCTTTAACAAAAGAATCCAAAATTTTAAAACTCATAATCATCCTCGTTGTTATAGCATGGATACAACCTGTGGGTCTGGCCTGGTCATCTAGGGCAGTTGTTTTCAAACTTCAGTGGGCATCATCAGTCATCTGGAGAAATTGTTAACTGAGATTGTTGGGTGGGACTTACAGAGTTTCTGATTTAAGTGATCTGCAATCTCATTTAAGTGATCTTCATTACATCCAGGGATGTAATGAAGACCATTGAGAGTTTAGAACGGTGCTTACTATAAAGGCTTAAGATAACTCTTCTAACTTTGAATTATATTGTCATGGATCTGGGCCTGATTTAAACCATAAAAAATTCTTAAACTAGAAGATTGCTAAGTGACTTATATTTTTAGAGGTTTGTGAACTTAAGTCACTATGTAGGCATCAATAATATACGTAAACAAACATTGACAAAAGCAACTTTTTTAAGTTGTTTTGTTTGGCTCTAAAAGAGAAGTTGGATAGTCTGAGTCGAATCAAATCAGGAATTGGTTCATTCATGTTAGATCAGTGGCTCAATTTGGGTACCTTCTATGTGCCAAACTTTGTGCTTGAGGATGTAACCAGAAATAGGACAGGAACAGTCTCAACTTTTGTGAACCTTACAATCTAAAGGTTTTAGACAATCATATATCCAGTGTGCTCAATGATACAGAGGGGAAAATATATTTTAGAGGGAGATAACAGATTAAGGGGTAAGGAAAACATTCTGAGAACGTATCATTTAAAATAAAATTCAGAGTAGGAATAGGAGAGAGAAGAACATTCCAATCAGAGACTTCCCTGGTAAAAAGCTCAAATTCAAGAAACCATTCCGTGCTGAAGAGCCTGAACAGAGCCTAGCAATGCAGGGGGAAGAGATCACAGACAGCTGCTGCCAGAGTGGAAGGCAGAGTCTAGACTGTGGAGACAATGTTACAGATTTTGAATACAGCAAAGAGAAGCTAGTGAAAGGTTTAAATTTAGAGAGTGGCATGATTAGATTTGCAGCTTTAAAAGATCATGTTGGCAACCTTATGGATCAGGTATTTATCGCGCATCTGTATGTGTCAGGCATAACGTGGAGAATGGATTAGAATAGATTAAGTCAATAACAGGGTACCGTTAAAGGAGTCCAAGCAAAAGATAGTGCTGGGCTTCACTCGTATGAAGGTTGTGGATACAGAAAGAGCTTCCTGGGCTTCAGAGATACAGGATGAGTATCCCTTATCTAAAAAATTTGGGACTAAAAGTACTTGGGATTACACTTTTTTTTTTTTTGATTTTGCAATATTTGCATTGTGCTTACTGGTTGAGCATCCCAAATCCAAAATCTGAAATGCTCCAATGAGAATTTCCTGAGTGTCATGTCAGTGCTCAGAAACTTTCAGATTTTGGAGCATTTCGGATTTTGAATTTTTTGGATTTGTGATGCTTAGCCTGTAGTTAGGTAGAATCAATAGAACATGAGGATTGATTGCATATAGAGATGAAGACAGAGGAAGAACCCCCAGGTTTCTGACTGGGTGAGAGTTTTTTTGTTGTTGTGTTTTGTTTTATGGAAGAGACTGATGCACATTTAAATACTGAGGCAAAGAGCTAGTAGTGAGAGCAAGATGAAATACAAAATAGTCTCTTTGGAGTAAGATGGAAGGGGGTTGGCATGGGATTTGGAAGCAAGGTATAAGAACTGGCCTTAGAGGGAATAATAGCTCTTTCTCTTAACAGTGGAAAAGGGGAAATCATGGGTTAGGATACTGTTATGCCTCAGGATTTGGTGTTGACAGGAAATAGCGCCTTTCTTTGGTAAGAGATAGTTTTCTGAGAGTGATGGAGTTTCTGAGAATTATCAAAGACATTAAGACAGATGGAAAATATTTATGCAGTCACTGAAAAATAGGAGAGTCAATTGTCTGTGGAAATACTATGGTTGCTTGGCAGTGTTTAAGAGCCTTGCTGAGGTCAATGAACATGAGTTTATAGTAACATTACCAGACTTCTGCTTGTATGGTTTTCTCTGGCAGCCCTCAGAAATCTTGGTATAGTTGCAAAGCGAAAGTTTGTTGGATTCAACCACTGTTCAGTTTCTGGTTTTGCCAGAAATTTGTTGGCAGCATATTGGGGCAGGGAATTCAGGAGAGAAATGAGGACCAGAGGACACTGGTGAGTGGGAGCAAGTAGAGGGATAAGTGAGCAAAGGTTCAGAGGAGGGAGAACAGCTGTGAAGTAAATGAGTAAATATATTAGAAAGGGAGGCATTGTGGTCAGAGTAGTGGGTCTGAATTTGTCATATCACAGGTGAGGCATTTTTGCATAATTGACTCTGAATATTTTGTTTCAGAGTGTAGAAAAGCTTTCTTAGTGCTTTAGGTGTTGCATATGGATATCTGAGGACTTAGGATTTATAGTTTATTTTATAGGGTATGAAGAACTGTCAGGAAATAGGAGGTCTTCCACATCTCTTGGGCATACTCTAAAACTTTTTCTGTGGGAATTCGAAGTCTAGTGTGTTCTAATCAAATCGAGATTCATTTTTATTTACTTCTTCCTGAAAGCAAATTTTAAATAGAAGGAATTTCATATAAAAATAAGGTGTATTCCTACATGTGGCCTTACATTTGAATCACCTGGGTTGCCTGAGAGAAGCATTTACCTGGGAATATGTATTTCTTGGCCCTACTTTAGACTCAATGGAATCTCTAAGAGCTTCCCTTCCCTCCCCTTCCTACTCAGGTGGAAAAGGACCAAGAGAAGGGATTAATGTAAATTGAGGACAGTGTCAATTACTGTGCTAGGAACTTTAGATATGTTATAGCATATATTTCTTAATAGGAGTTGTGTAATTTTTAAACTGTTGTTATACTCCATTTAAACCCTCAGAAATGGTAACATTTGCAAACTTTCTTTGTAGACCCGCTATCCCATATTGGAGAATCCAGAGATTTTGAGGAAAACAGCTGATGACTTTCTTAATAGAATTGCATTGACGGATGCTTACCTTTTATACACACCTTCCCAAATTGCCCTGACTGCCATTTTATCTAGTGCCTCCAGGGCTGGAATTACTATGGAAAGGTATTAATTAGTTTTTTAACTTAGGTCAAATTCAGTCACTGGGTTTATTTATTCATAGAATCATTTCTGACTGTAATCTTTAATATTCTTTGTGGCTGGGATGGTTGGTGAGAAGAAGAAATGAAATTGCCTTTTGAGGAAATCTTTAAACATCATGAAAAATACTGTTAAACTAAGAGGATACATTTAGGATTAAAGTAGAAGTAAACCAGGTGATCCTTGAAAGACTGATATAGCTATCAGTATATGACAAATTTAGAAGTTCCTGTGAACTGGTGAGCAACTTGAGTGCAGCAAATGTCTGCCTTGTTTTATCTTTATTCCCCTTCTGTAGAGCATGTATGACACGCGGAAGTTAAATATTGTTAACTAACTGAAGCACAAGCTAGCAGCCAATTAGACATTTTTAGTTTCTATATTAAGTTTCTCAATTTATGACCTTTGAGGTTCTGCTTGATTTCATTCCTAGAAATAGCTGAGGAAGAAAGATGATAAAACTTCCTAAAGTTAATTAAAACTATTTTACATGATTATAATCCCTTATCCATAATTTCAGAATCCATTGATAAGGTGGCAGCAAATAGAGCAGATTGTATTTAGTTTTTATTTCACTTAATAGGAATATTTGTGTTCCCTTGCAGAAATCTTAATATTCCTGATTACAGACATCACTTGGGTATTTCACATTTCATAATATATACACCAGATAACTTTTCTAAGACATGAATACTTATTAATAAGAATTTCGCAACACATCTGCATCTAGGATAAGGGATTGTAGGTTTATATTTTATTTATGATATGCCTGTTCTCTGCAAACGCAGCTCACCAACTGTATATAAATGTATACGTTTAATCCCAAAGTGATTTATATCTCCACTTATTTACTAAGCAAACATTTATTAGATACCTTCTATGTACTACTATGCACTGTACTACACTTTAGGAGTATGAATAAGATAAATCTCTGTGTTAGGAAAGATAGTCATGTAAATTACTGATGTATATGGAGTTAAGATGTGGACTTCCATTAATTTTGTGGGGGTTGGGTGGTTATTTTTTTTGAGACAGCATCTCACTCTCACCCAGGCTGGAATGCAGTGGCACAGTCAAAGCTCATTGCAGCCTCAACCTCCCAGCCTCAAGCGATCCTCCTACTTCAGCTTGCTGAGTAGCTGGAACCACAGGCACACACCGCCACACCTTGGCTAATCTTTTTGTTTTTTTTGTAGAGTTGGGGTTTCCCTATGCTGCCTAGGCTCATCTCAGTCACTCCTAGACTCGAGTAGTCTCCTGCCTAGGCCTCCCAAAGTGCTGGGGTGACAGGTGCACACCACCATACCTGGCCTGCAGACTTCATTCTGTAAGGGAACAAAAGTCCTCTTTTCCACAATTCAAATAACCAAAAGTTTGATTAATCTTGAAGCATTGTATATAGTGCATCTATAAATTCTTCAGTGAAGGTCCAAATGAATTTATTTCATCTTAGAAGTTTAGTTCATTATAATTCCAGGAAGGCAAAATTGAAATTGCCATACCTTTGGCTCCTTGCAAATTTAATAGGCTTTCGTAACATTCCCAGAGACTAGACATTGGGCCTTTTTTTTTTTTTTTTCCTTTAGGGAAATGCTTTCCAAACGTTTTTAACTTACAGCTGATTTACAGGCAAATTTTTGGGATATGTGGAAATGAGCTTTACATTTATTGCTGATTTCAAAAGGGAAAGCCCCTGTGCTGTTGTCATAGTCTGGATAATGCCTCAGATTATTAATCATAGGATTATTACCGTTATTTCTGGATTTTCTTCTCTTTCTTGCAGATTTAGAGCTTTATTTTTCATCTGCTACTTTAGGTATTCTTATTGCCTGTGGATTTTATTAAAACACCACAATATTATAAGTTCAAATTCAAAATTGAGGTTAAGAGTTGCTAACTTCACAGAGATAATGAGTCTAGTCAGCCAACTCTTAGCACCAAACCTATGACCCTTATGCTTAAGAAATCAAAAGGAAATGAAGAGTAAAAATAAAGGAAGATGACAAAAATGGGAGGAATTTTAGGTAGGAGAGGGAAAGGAAAAAACTAGTTATTTTGAATTACTGGTAGCCAGAAATGGATTAGTTGTCAGGAGATTTCCTGATTTTCAGATCCAAAATTTATTCCCACAGTAGATGATGATGATGTAATATCAAACAGTTACCAAACTTTATAATAAAATTTAAATAAATCTGGATAAAGACAGCAACAAGAGTTCTTAAAGCATTGCTTTCTATTTTTCTAACTATTACCCCCAAGAGAAAAATAAGTTTTTTGCATTTGTGTTTGAAAAACTATTTAACATTTTGAGAATCTGTTCATTTCGCCTTTTATCAATCATAGGTCAAGTTCAGGTATGTAAAACTTCAGAGTAACTGAAATTTTAATATAGAAATTATATTTTCATACTGTCAGTGGCTCTGAGAAAAACAGGTAATTTGGGTTTTATATCACATTGATAAGTAAGTTTAACACCTTTGATTTGGACTTGATGCAAATAAGATGCAATAGATTTATAAAGCATTAGGTGGTAGTCTTGTTGGTTTGAATGTCTGTTACTCCACAGAAGTGCAACTATAGATAAAATGGCTTTCATATTAAGGGAATAGAGAATCCTTACTAGTGCCAGATTCCAGTTTTGCTGCTTCCTAGCTTTATTACTTTGGGCAAGTTACAAGATCATGACTTGTTCATCCCTGTAACTCAGATTCCTCATCTGTAAAATAAGGTTAGCCTTATTGGGCTTCTATATTAAAAGATATAAATGTTATAAGTACTGGCTATTACTGTTGCTTTCATACTATTTTCCCTCTGAAAGGTTGTACCTGAATGTCACTAAACTTAAAGGAACAATAAACATCTTTTAATGTAAGTGGTAATAAATCCTTAAAATATAGGAGTTACAGATTATACATTCATAAATTTAAAAATTTTTTAATTGCCTTTGATGAGGATGGAGGAAAATAATTTATGATGTCATGTTTTCTCAATGTGCTGTATGTTTTCAATAGATTTTTTTTTCTTTTCTTTACTAGTTATTTATCAGAGAGTCTGATGCTGAAAGAGAACAGAACTTGCCTGTCACAGTTACTAGATATAATGAAAAGTAAGTAAAAGAGAACACTTTACAAAATGTTTCTTCCAATACAAAGCTCCTTTCTAAATAAATCTCTTGGTGTTTAACTAGAAATATAACAGATTTTTGTTTAGATTTCTTTTCATTGAATTACTGTATTATGGAAGCATGAAAGACACATTGGTCTAGAACAAATAGAAGGTATATAGAAGGAAGTAGTGTTCATTTATATAGAACTTATGCAAAGAGTGAAAATAGAGTCAGATTTAGAAAGGATTTAGAGATTGACAACAGGATCCTTTTAAAGAATAAAGAAACATACTAGGCACTGAAAAAGATGTAATGGGAAATAACTTAAGGATAATGTTTAAATTTGGAACTTCTATTTTGTAGATAAATTATTTTTTTAAGAGAAAGGTAGAAGGAGATTTGACACACTCAGAGAAGGCACTGTTAAGACAGCAGAGAAAGAATTAAAGATGCTTGCCTTGAAAATTGGAGTGATGTGGCTGCAAGCCAAAGGAAGCTGGCAGCCATCGGAAGCTGGAACAGGCAAGGAATGGATTCATCCCTGGAGCCTCCAGAGAGAGTATGGCCCTTCTAGCACCTTAATTTTGGCACAGTGAAACATTTCAGACTTTTGGGCTCCAGAACTATGAGAGAATACACTTCCGTTGTTTTAAGCCACCACTTTTGTGATAATTTTAATAGCAATGTCAGGAAACTAATACAGCCCTGCGTAATCAAGACTTATCCAGCCCAAAAAGTCATTAGTGCTGGTGTTGAGAAACCCTGTCATTAGTGCCGGTGTTGAGAGTTGAGTAGAATCTCTACTTTACTTATTGGCTGGATTAGCCAGCATTCTCCATTCTTGACCGTGGCACACTTGGTCATGGCTGCTAAGCTACTCTTTGGGGTTAAAAGTCGATCATGTTTGTTTCCAAACCTTCTTGTGTAAATTGTTCTTGTTAATTAAATGTGTATTGTAATTAAATATTAAACCAGTAGAATATAAGATTGAAATCTTGATTTTCGATGACAGTAAATGGGCATACATTTTATATATTTTGTGTTTTAAAATTTAAGATGCTTCAGGGCATCTATGTATCATTTCCTGATTCTCTGCTCGAAGTGATCCTGAGGGCTTCCTTTGAGAATGATGGCTGTGATTTATGAATTATAAACTGTAGGTCTTTAGTTATACCACTAGGGGGTACACTTTAAAAGCTAATTGTGATTTGACTGTAGCTGTTAGGATCATAGAATTTAGTAGGTAAAGGTCTTATTCCACTGTACTCATTTCATAGCTTAGTTTTATTACTGATTTCTTCTCAATACCTTTATTTTGCTCCACTTGTTTTAAAATGAAATAAAAACAGCTCTTCATAAAACACTCAGAAGTTTAATGCTACTAAGATATTTGTAATTTTTGGAACATAGATACTGTCCTAAGGGTGTTGAGTTACAAGTATTAATTCAGTTAAAAATACTGCTTTGTTTGCATTATGAAATAGGTCAGTAGTGTAGTCATTTGGATCACATGGCTGGCTAATAGTAATAATAAGCCCATTGGATCTCTCATCATTCCCCTAATCTTGAAATTTGTATTCTTTGGTTTATTATAGTTGAATAACAAGATCAGCTAGAGGATGTTTTTGCAATTATAAAGTTACTGATACAGTAGTTTGCTTTTAACCTAAAGTGGACATTTTTGTATAGGGTTTGCGTTTTGTTAAAGCAAAGGATTATTAACAAATTTTTACTGAGCATCCTCCCTTTATTGCATGTTGTGTAATAACAGTTTCCTTTGAAAACAGGAAGTATATGCTTGGCCCACTGTCTATGGAATAGAATACTACGAAGATGGTTGGTGATAGAGAACAAAACATGTTCACTAAATCATTTAGGGATTTTTTTTTTAAGTCTTAAAACTGAACAAGAAGTGACCCCAGTAGGATTTGCCAAAAATTAATGCTAGATTATAGTGTGCTTTATGCTGTATATGATATGGGCTAAACAGCAGAGAGCCATAATTACTTGAACTAAACATACAGTGCTTATTGGATTTTAATGTAGAATGAAATGCAGAATGATGCAAATCCTGAGAATAACCATGTCATTTGAAGAGTGTTGTTTCCTATGACAAAATGGAAAAGTAACCAGCTCCCTTACTATGAGAAGGAGGTTTGCTTATTCAGTTTAAATTCTTTTTTTGTATCCACATAGGCATGAGAAACTTAGTAAAGAAGTATGAACCACCCAGATCTGAAGAAGTTGCTGTTCTGAAACAGAAGTTGGAGCGATGTCATTCTGCTGAGCTTGCACTTAACGTAATCACGTAAGTTAATGTGACAGTGTTAATCAATAGACATAACTGTTATCCAGTCCAGCTGGTTCGTAAATCATTTTATTGGTGTTTGCTCATTAGAGGAAAGCTGACTGATCCATAAAATCAGATTTTCTTTATTGAATGGACATTTCTAATGAGATTAAGGTAATAGTTCGGCATTCACTGTGCAGTTCTGATCCTGCTGTGACTCATATGTTCTTTGGCTTGCAGGCCCTGTCCTGTTCTGTTACTTCTCATGGGATTTCAGGGGTCAGGGTCTTCCTAAGGAATCCTTTTACCTTTTCCTGTCCTTTTAATCTTTTGTCTCTTTGAAGTTGTGATATCTGGTCTGAGGAACAAATATGCTCTTCCAGACTTCTGTTAGCTAGAGTAGAGAAAGTTGGCATACTTCTTTTTTTTTTTTTTCTTTGAGATGGAGTCTCGCTCTATTGCCCAGACTGGAGTGCAGTGGCGCGATCTCAGCTCACTGCAAGCTCTGCCTTCCAGGTTCAGGTCATTCTCCTGCCTCAGCCTCCTGAGTAGCTGGGACTACAGGCGCCCTCCACCACGCCCAGCTAATTTTTTGTATTTTTAGTAGAGACGGGGTTTCATCGTGTTAGCCAGGATGGTCTCAATCTCCTGACCTCATGATCCGCCCACCTTGGCCTCCCGGCATACTTCTTTCAGTGACAAACTTTATAGTGACCACAAAGCCAATAGGAAAAGAGGCCATGTAATTTCTTCTTGTGGCTAGCCATAAGAACACCTTTAATGTCTCTTAATTGATTTGTAAGCTGAATGTGAAAATCACCATAAAATTGGCAATTTGTGCTTTGCAAATTGAAAGATCCACTGAAACTTTCTTTTTTAGGTGTTTAAGCAGTTGGGAATTTGGACAGGTACTAGGATTAATGAAACTGCCATTTTCTATTTCCTGTGGGATGCATTTTGTTACTTAAAGTTATACCTTATTTGTTAAAATTTAATGGGAGTTATCTGTGGCATCTTATATTTAAGATGTATTTGAGGTATTATTTCTGTAATTGGTGAATATGTGCTGCTGGATAACTATGAAAAGCCAGAACAGCAATTCCAAGGCCTTTATGTCAAATACACATGACTCAAATTCCTTACCTATACAGTTGTAGTTGGGGAATATCTACGGACTTAGGAAGTGTGCAGAATATGAGGTTGTTTTATTATAGTTATAGGTATAACGACAAAGCATGTTTTAGCATAGAACTTGAAATTGGTGGATTTCATTCACTCCTCGGTTTCAGTGGTAACAGGAATTTTTCAGAGTGGTTACAGAGAAGTAATGTTGACTTTAATGAATAAAAGTATTGCAGCACTGATTATGTCCTTTTTGCATTGATTTTGAAATGGGATTAGACCAGGGGTTGGCAAACTGTTACCTACCAGGCATATCCAGCCCATTAGCGTTTTTAGAACACAGTTTCTTGGAATGTAGCACACCTATTCGTTTATATATCACCTATGGCTATTTTCATGATACAGCAGAAAAGTTAGGTAGTTGCAACAGAAACTGGTTATAGGGCCTGCAAGGCCGAAAATATTTACTGTCTCTTTAAAGAAAAAGTTTATCCACCCCTGGATTAGACCACTGAACTACTAATCCTACCCTTTCTAGCTAAGTAACTGAATGGACCATAATCCAAAATTCTTAACTGCCATAGCTTACATTGTATTCCAGATTGCCATCTGCCTTGTACTGGGCCAAATTCTGAATATCTATGAGTACTTGAGGGGTGCTTCTCAAACTGCGAAGGACTTTTTTAAAAAAAAATCACTAGATGTATACTTTTGTAAAATTCAATAAAAAATGAATTACTAGAAAAGTGAAGACAAAAACATAAGCTCAAGTTTTATTAGATTCAGCAGTCATAAAATTATTATATCAAATTGCTATTAAAAATTTCTAGGGCCGGGCACAGTGGCTCATGCCTGTAATCTCAGCAGTTTGGGAGGCTAAGGCGGGCGGATCACCTGAGGTCGGGAGTTCGAGACCAGCCTGGCCAACATGGCGAAACCCCGTCTCTACTAAAAATACAATAATCAGCTGGACGTGGTGGTGGGTGCCTGTAATCCCAGCTACTTGTAAGACTGAGGCAGGGAGAACTGCTTGAACCCTGGAGGGGTCACAGTGAGCCAAGATCACGCCATTGCACTCCAGCCTGGGCAACAGAGCAAGACTCTGTCTCAAAAAAAAAAACAAAAAAAAAATTATGAAACACAATTCCTGTACTTAACTCACTGCAAACTGGAAACTGTTCATGGACCAGCTCTGGTACTTGCTACCATGAGTAGTGCTACTTTAGGACTAAATATTTGTTTTCCTTGATCTTCAAAATTATTTTACCTTTAGTTTTCATGACACAAAAACTGTTTTGTCATTGTCAGTCAATACAAGTGAAACCAAAGTTCCCTTTGATCAAAACCCAAATCTGTCATGACCTCAGAAGTTACTTAGCAGTTGTTTACCTTTGCCAGCCTTTTCTCTGCACGTATATCCATATATTTATGAAATAAGCAGCGTTTTTTTCTTCTTTGCATTTTTCATACATATTGTACAATGGGTGATTATCAATGCTTAGCTTTTGCTAGTCTGGGTGAAAAAGTATCACATTGGTATTTTAATTTGCATTTTCTTGATTATGGGACATTGAACTTTCCATACTTAACAGTCACTTATATTTCATCTGTATTGCTTATTTATCCCCTTTGCCCAATTTTCTGGCTTTTTTGTTTGTTTGTTTGTTTTTGAGATGGAGTCTTGCTGTGTCACCCAGGCTTGAGTGCAGTGGCGTGATCTCACTGCAACCTCTGCCTCCCGGGTTCAAGCAGTTCTCCTGCCTCAGCCTTCCAAGTAGCTGGGACGACAGGTGCATGCCAACATGCCCAGCTAATTTTTTTTTGTATTTTTAGTAGAGACGGGATTTTACCGTGTTAGCCAAGGATGGTCTCAAGCTCCTGACGTCGTGATCCGCCCGCCTCAGCCTCCCAAAGTGCTGGGATTACAGGCGTGAGCCACTGCACCTGGCCACATTTTTGTGGTTTGTAGTGCTTTATAGATTCTATATACAGTCATCCTTCAGTATCCATGGGGGATTGGTTTCAGGACTTTCTGCTCATAACCACAATCCACAGATGCCCTAATACAAAATGGCGTATTTGCATATAACCTATACACATCCTCCCATATACTTTAAATCATCTCTAGATTACTTATAATACCTAAATACAATGTAAATGTTATGTAAATAGTTATACTGTATTCTTGAGGGAATAATAAGAAAAAATTCTGTACATGTTCAGTACAGATAGAATTTTTTTCCTTATTTTCAATCCGCAGTTGGTTTAGTCCACAGATGTGGAACCCACAGGATACAGAAGGCTGATTGTACTTATTTATATATGATATATTATTTATATATGATATATTCTATTGTTTTTCACAACTTTTTTCCAAATACTAATTTTTGCCCCAGCTCCCACACCCCGCTTTTTTGAGAAAAAGTCTTCTCTCTGTCATCCAGGTGTGATGGAGTGCAGTGGCTTGATCTTGGCTCACTGCACCCTCTGCCTTCTGGGCTCAAGTGATCTTCCTACCTGAGCCTCTCAGCAGCTGGGACTACAGGTGCTCAACCACATTGGTTAATTTTTTAATTTTTTTGTAGAGACGAGGTTTCGCCACATTGCTCAGGCTGGCCTCAAACTCTTGGGCTCAGGCGATCTGACGCCTCGGCCTCCTAAAGAGCTGGGATTACAATTGTGAGCCCCTGTGCCCAGCAGGTCCCAGCTCATTTTTTATTTCATGTTTTCCTAGTTACTTGAAACACTTCTTATCACACATTAAATTCATCCTTCTGCATAGTCATTACTTTGCTTATCTAGTCTGATCATTGATCTGTTTAATATCTCACTTTTAATTACCGTAGCTTTTGTAGTGTGCTTTAAAGATAACTGGGACAAGGTCCTCCAACACTGTTCTTTTTTATATTCGCTCCTATTTTTTCACACTCTTTCCTAGGTCAGTGTTAGATTTGACAATTCCATGAAAAATTTTATTAGGGTTTTAATTAGAATTGCATTTAATTTAAAGATTGATTGTAAAAGTATCATTTTCCCTACCCCATAGCTGTTTATCTTTTTCCATTTATCCTGGCCTTGTTGTTCAGTAGATACATGATATTGCCTATAGCCTTGCTAGTTTATTTTACATTTTATAGTTTCTGTGGCTGGTATTGGATTGCTTATTGATAGTTGCTTAATTATAGGAAGAAGAGGAAAGGCTATGAAGATGATGATTACGTCTCAAAGAAATCCAAACATGAGGAGGTATGTTTTACTCCAAAGATGAACTCTAAGTTATTTTTGTTATACATTCTGGTGTGACTATACTGTTAAGATTTATTCTCCAAGAGTACAGGCATTATAGAGTTGTGGGTTTTTTCATTTTTTGCATACTTCCTTACGTACAGTACTGTTGTCCATTATTAAAGGGATTTTTCTCTCTTCTGTCTTTATTTAATGAAGAATCCTTCCTGTGTTCATAGAAAGCAGAAGCAATATGTATACATACTACATTTTTGCTTTTTTTCTTATTCTCCAAGGATTTTTCCCTTACCCCCTTTTAAAAAAAATTTTCTATCTGTCAAGTCAAATAAGTGAATAATCAGAGGCAAAAGGTCACAGCCATAACCTTTATTCCTCACTGGAGGAGTCTGGTGAGACCATGCCAACATTACTAACAGTGAACTATTACAAAATTTCCTGGTTTATCTTTTGTAATCCACATGGGTAAAAGGAGGAGAACATTTTCTTAAAGGGAGGTAAGAGGTAAACAATACTGGTTATGCTTCAGTGTTATCCTTACCACACTTTTTTTCCTTCTTAGGAAGAATGGACTGATGACGACCTGGTAGAATCTCTCTAACCATTTGAAGTTGATTTCTCAATGCTAACTAATCAAGAGAAGTAGGAAGCATATCAAACGTTTAACTTTATTTAAAAAGTATAATGTGAAAACATAAAATATATTAAAACTTTTCTATTGTTTTCTTTCCCTTTCACAGTAACTTTATGTAAAATAAACCATCTTCAAAAGAGCTAGAATAGCACCTGTTTTGAATATTCTTATTCCATCGTGACTAATATCAAATTAAAGCTGCAACTCATTTGCCTAATTTTTTAAGCAAAATATGATAGGCAAACCTATGCTTTTTTTAAAAAAGGCACCACAAAAAACAAAACTTAGTAGCCAGCTTTAAAAGTGTTAAGGAATGTGTTTTGCCCTCTAGAAACCTTTATAAATGGCTTTTTGAATGCCATCCTGATATATTTAGCTATTTGTCCATTACTATTAAACTGCAGAAGGTATTTCAACTGTTACATGGTACTGAAAGCCAGTCGTCTGGGTAATGAATATTATTTTTCTTTAGTTACCCGAAAACATTTCCAAATGGGTTTTTAAAAAAAACCAGATATATGATTTTGAATAGCTGTCTACATCAAACTCTTACGCTAGTATAGATAAGTAGGTAGCAGCAAATTGTATATTCAGTTGTGGTTGTTTTTTAATTTTGTTTTGATGTAAGGTCTTGCTATGTTGCCCAGGCTGTCTCAGACTCCTAGGCTCTAGTGATCCTCTGCCTCAGTTTTCTGAGTAATTGGGACTACAGGCACACATCACCACAGCCTTATAATTAACCTATTAGATCCTATAAGTGAATCCGTGTAAGTAGATTATAACAGTTACTAGGAATTTTGCAGATTAAATATGTTAGAGAAATGTAATTCAAATTGAAATGAGTCAATATAAAAATATGAAAGCACAGACTATTACAGCAAATTACTTACATATGAATCATGGCCAGCTGTATTTCACTATGTGACCTTGGTAAGTTATTAAACCTCTAAGTGCCAGTTTCCCACACTGAAAATGGGGAAGATAAAAATGCCTACTCTTCATAGGATTAATTAGAATAGTACCTGCATACACTAGTATTCAGTAAGTGTTAACTATTATAATTGGAACCAAACTGTGGACGTCTGTTTACCAAGCCAGATTTTTTTCAGGAAAACTGGCTTGAAGGAATTCCGAGTAATTCAAGTGTCCTGAATCTAATTAAATTGCACAAATACACACACCTCCTCAGTCTCAGTACATCCCAGGCTGTACTTTCCAGAAAGGTAGGTACCATTATAGTTACATCTATTTTAAGGCAATACTTACTATATGCATATTCATCTCTCTAACAATAATTCTTTACACTGTAGGCTTGAGTTTTGTGGGTTTTTTTTTTTTCTCATTCCAGAGTGAAAGGAATAAAATTCGTGATGTGAGATTTTTACAAAAGCAGAGTGGAAGAAGCCAAAAGTTATAAATCCTCCATCGCAGTCCTAGTTAAATATATTGCTGCTAGGCTCTAGACAGAATTACAAGATGTTCACAATTTGTCTCATTTTCCCTTTCAGATCGCCAAACTTTGGCATCAGAGCAAGGTCCACACTTATCACTGAAAATTTTCCCACCCAGCCCCATTAAAAACGTTAAAGTGTGAGAGATTTTATTTCAACACTGACAAGCTAGTTACTAGAGGGCCTACAAAGGTAAGTAACAAGTTTCCATTTCAACTTGAGAGACAAATGATGTTAAAATATAAGAAGCAGGGTAAGTCAGGTTTGTGATTTTAAATAAAAGGGAGAAGGATTTCAGACTGAGGAATGACAGGTTAGTATGGCTAAAGATTGAGGTGTGATAAATGGGAGCCAAAGTGCACAGCAAAAATATCTTGACTAATCCATATCCTCCCTGTCTTCTATCATGTAACCAAGGAAGGAGACCACCTGGGATACTATGTTGGTCCAAGTCCAGCTAAAAAACAGAAGGGGTGGAAAGGAGAGTAATTTGATAAAAGAGCCAAGAAGGGAGAGAATGGAATGAATTGAGCTGATTTCAAGGAAAAGGAGCATGGGACATGTTGAGATTTTTGGTATCAGTGTTAAACGGTGATTGAAGCCACATAGGTTAGCAGCCCCCATAGAAATAACTGCCTTTTGTAGCTTGGAACTACTAAGCAGACATCTTTTAAGCCCTTAGCATTTTTTTTTCCTGTATTTTATACATTAGAGGAATAGCATAAAGTGTTGCTCTTGGAATCTAGGGCTTTCCTTACTGTGGGAACACCTCCTTGGGTTCCTGTCTCACTCACTTTGATTACCAATGTCATTCTGCCACGTATGTTCCATATGTCCTATCTATCTGCCCTGCACAATTATGAGAGGGAAGGAATTATTGCATTTATAAAATCCTTTTCAAAAGAGGCCATTAGCAAAAATACTAATCTAAAGCTTCAGCTTCTCCCTGGGCCTTGCTCTGATGCTAAGGTTTAAACTGCCCCTGAAGGAGGAAGAAAATAAATAAATTAAATGCTTAGCTCTTTTAGACAGAAGTAATCAATTATGCAAGATATCCCTTGGTTTTATTTTAACTTAACCTTTGTGAATACTTCACAAAAATACACATACAGAAGTAAATAAAACTATACAGTTGAACTAAATATCCAGCAGATACAACAAGTAGTCAGAAGTTCAAAGATGGATAAGTTAGGCAGCTGATGAGGTTGTCTGCATAATCAAAGGGGTAGCACAAATAATGAACAAATAACTTTTAACAAAAGCATTCTAGTTAACATAAAAGAAATTGGTAGTCTATAAAATGGTTGAATGGGTAACATGCATTGATCAATACAACAACCAATAATATTTACTGAATTCAAACTATTTACTTGTAAACATTTAACAAAGCATTATGAGATCTAAATACAGTCTTTGACAATTTCAACAAAATAAGTCGTATGTTTAAAAAATAAAGCTGATGAGCAATAGATCATTCTATATATTTTCTTTCAACAGTTCCAGCAAGAGAAATAGCAGAGTATTTTTTAAAAGTATACAGCAAAGATTGTTCCTATTATAATGACAAACTCTGGAAACTGTAAATACAAATAATCATTGAACAGTCAAATGGTCATATTCCTAATCAGGAAGTAGTTACAGTAAGAACAGTCTGCAATCCAGTTATACACAATTGTCAATAAGAATGTGTTTCTTGTCAGTTGATTTCATAGTTCTTTCTCTAAGAGACAGCAAAACTTTGGCAACTGGGTGTACTGAAAATATATTTTGAAAGTTCGAGATATCAAGATACAGTCATAGCATTTCGTTTTGTGAAAGGTGGTCTGTACACCAAGGCTCAGAGGTTGTTAAAGATTGATTCCATGTGGAAATAGTGCAAATATCCTGCACAGATAGCTTACAAGGTTGCTGGCATAGTTATTCACCAGCAGAATCTTGGATTTTGTTTGCATAGCTCACACATCACTGGAATGTGGAAAAGTGTGCTATTTTTTGGCAAGAGCAAAGGAGACATTAAACTGAAGTGAATTACCATGTTGGACATGCTGAATCCATGCAGAACACTGGGGCGAAGGCTGCTACCTGACATCATTGGTTTTTGTATACTGGTTTTGTTTTTGTTGAAGCAGTTCTGTTATAGCCAGAAGCTTTTTCAATACGTGCTAGACAGAGGAAAAATGGTATGAAAATAAATGAAAGCTCGGTCAGCAATTTCAGGATGGGAACCTGGATTTGAAAAAAACTGTATCAAAGCAAAAGGATGCATAAAATATTACCACAATTCCCCTCAAAACATAAGTCTCTATTATTCAGTCATTGGCTGAGTATTTCTGGTCATAACTAAGAGAATTTTTATACCCTAAAGTGAACAGAAATTTGTTTGTGTTTGGCATGCTCCTATTTTTTAGGCCAGAACTATCACACTATCACATGTTGTCAGAAGCAGTTTATCTCTCTTTTAAAAAAGGCTTTTTTTATTTAATATCTAAGGCAAGTCAAGTCATATTATTAGTTTTGAAAGCTGCGGGGGGAGGGGCGGGGAGAAACAGGACTTGAGGATTCTAGAATCTCAGGTTGTAGAGAACTCAGTCACCAAACTCAATGCTTTAATCCCTTCTACAAAATCCCTGCCAAATGGTTAGCCAGTGCGGTGACAGCATTCACTATCTCCTGAAACTACATTAGAAACTAGTCAAAACTGTCCCTGTGGTCACTTCCTCTCAGTAGCCCTTATGTCAGCTGAGGACATTCAAAGTGTAACTCATTTTGTTCTATATCTCCAATATCTTAATTGACCTGGTATTAAGTCCCTTCAAATTCTGGTCTGGTCTTTGAATACATCCTTATCTGTATCTGTTTGGTGCAGATGGCAGATAGAAGTCTATCAATGTAGTCTACTGTTTCTCAAAGTGTAGGCCATGGTTCACTTGCATCGGAATACCTATAAATTCCTCTAAGAGTTTGTTAGACGTGCAGCTTTCAAGGCCACACTTCAGAACCTCTGGATGTGAAATTTGACAAACATCCCAAATAATAATCATTTGTTTCACAGTTTGAGAATCACTTTGGCCATGCACTATATCTGTATGTGACAGAGAAAAGACAAGACAGAAACTGAAAGAAAAAAAAATAAAATCAATATTGACTTACTAACTAGCCATTTTCACACATGCTACCAAAGTGTTATTACACTGTTTTCCAGTAGAATTAACATTCAGACTCAAGAGCAAAACCTGATGTTTTTCAGTATTAAATGTACATCATTTTAGTCGGGGCCCGTTATTTCTGTCTGCTGAGATCTTTTGTAATATGATGCAGAGTCTCAAAAATTTAATGTAACAAGATAAAAATGTTAACCAGAATTCAGCTATTTATTAACTCTCTAAGTGTTATCTTTGAAACATCATTGTTAATGAAGGCTGGCGAAAGCCTACCTGCTGTGCACCACGCTCATTACTGAGCGTTCGAAGTTCATCTGAATGAGCCACGCAAATCTCATGCAATGCTGCTAAATCACGGGACAGGTCCGTTCTAGAATGCTCTGTAGTGTCCGGAAGTTCAGGTACATTCTTTAAGGGAATCGTAAAATTGCATTTAGAAATACAAATCTTCTTTTTTTTTGTTTTTTTTGAGACAGAGTTTCGCTCTTGTTGCCCAGGCTGAAATGCAATGGCATGATCTCGGCTCACTGCAACCTCCGCCTCCCGGGTTCAAGCGATTCTCCTGCCTCAGCCTCCCAAGTAGCTGGGATTACAGGCACCTGCCACCATGCCCAGCTAATTTTTTGTTACAAATACAAATCTTTCTCTGTAGTCTCATGTGAAAAGATTCTAATTGGGTATATTAGATAATTTTTTTAATACTCAAATTTCTCTTAAAATTCTAAAGATTCTTATTGAAATATAATATTCAGTATTAATGATGGTAAAATATAGACTTTGTAACCTTTGTATTCACATGAAAGCCAGATTCCATTTTTTTCCGTAGCATGACAGATGTGTACAATATTATTGCTATTCTAAAAATAAGGGGTGGGGGGTGTGGCTTCCTAACAATTAGCTTTGTATCTGAAAAAATCTAGAACATATGCCAAATAGTGTAGGTTAACTGCTAATCTGGATTAAATGCAGCCTAAACTTAAAATTCCTAGATGAAATTTCATTATTAAGCTCCTGTAGTTTGTCTAAGTTGATAATGCATATAAGTAGGAACTGCACTATGAAAATGCAATGAGAACCTGTCAGGTTTGCAATTATCTGTGGACTATGCTCAGAATACTTGCTAATGTGTGGGAATAATCAGTGTTAATTATGGTACTTTCAGATAAGGTTCATAAAGTAACTTAGTCACTATAATGAAAGTTTATAGTATAGGTTGAATATCACCCAAAATGCTTGAGACCAGAAGTGTTTCGGATTTTGGAATATTTGCAGTATACTTGCCAGTTGAGCATCCCCAATCCAAAAATCCAAAATTGGAGATTTTCCAAATAGCATTTCCTGTTGGTGCTCAACAAGTTTTGGATTTTTTAGCATTTCAGATTTCAGATTAGGGATACTCAACCTGTACTTTATTATCGACACTAAATGCCAGTGTTATTTTAAGCCTTGGAATAACATTTAACAAGGGCTTGGATTACCAGTAAAATGGTGACAGTATTTGCTTTACATTGCTAAAAACTGCAAAACAATGTTATCTATGGGACAGAGAAACACAGTTACTCAGAATACATTCAGTGATTAAAGGTTTATAGCGATGAAAGACTCCATATTTGCCTTCAGAGAACTGACTCCAGTAGAAAGGACTTTAGAATAAAGTAATCATAGCAACACAGAATTATATATCACAGATACACAGGGGATGCTTAGGAGGTAAAACAAAAGTTATTTTATTCATGTTTGGGGTTCAGCAAAAGCTTCCTGAAGGAGATAATAATTGAGGTGGGTCTTCAAAAATAAATTTGGCTTATTATACAGGTGGTGAAGAAATATGGTAGTATTATATTTGGATTCTAAGCAGTATGAAATCTTAGATTGTGTGGCATAACTTCTCACACAGTTCCTTAAACATTATAGTAAAAATATTTTCCAATGATTGACCAACTATATCCCAGTTCACATATAGAAGCATGATGGACTTTTAGCATTTTTGTCCATTTCACTATAAATTTCACTATAAATATGGAGCTATGCCATAATTTTTCATACACTAGTTTTTATACCTGAGGTTGCAAACTAGTGACTCAACGGCATTCCTGATTTGTTTGCCACAAATTGTGGTGGTCTTTTTAACTGAATCTGAATACATTAAGACAGAACATGGACACCTCAATCTCCAATCCTAGCACTCCCTAATGCCATGCCTTACACCTGGCTCTATTCACATGTACATGCACCTTCCTGGTTTCTCTGTATATGAACTGAATTACTAATAAGTTTAGTTTAAAACTGACTCAGTACCTGAAAATCTGTTCAATCATGAAAATTTAACTTGATTAAGAAAGGCAGGGTCCTAGAAATTATAAAATACCCTCATTCGTAATTTTGTAATCACAATTTATTTTATTAACAAGGCCCAAATGAGGCACAGATATTCACACTGAATGAAGTGTAACACCGAATCCACGTCTTTTATTCCTAGAAAAGAAGACTTTTCAGTCTACTTATTTAACCTGGTCAGAACTGTGTCATCGTCTTGCTTCACGCCCCACATAGTAGCAGCAAAGTAAAAAAGCTAAGGAGGCAACAGAATGTCATGGCAGTCAGATGTGATAGCTTTAAAAGGATATGAAAAGCAAGACAGACCCTAAAAAATGATGGAAGTAGTCTAAAAGCCACAATAATGTATGCTTTGGTGTAAACTATTTAGTGTAAGAATAAATGGTTTTAATTACAAACAAAAATATGTTTTTTGTTTAGGAAGGCAGACAAAAATTTGCAGGCTTTTTGTCTTTTTAGTTTTGGATAGAAAATCTTTCTAAAGATTGCTGCTTAAATGGGTTAACTCAGCTATATCAACTAGAAGTCTTAAAAAAAGTACCTGAAAACTATATACATACCCCAAGTTCATCTAAAAACATGATCATACGATGTTTGTTGCTTTTGATGAATGGATTGACACCTTCCATGTAGGGCTCCTGAAAAATAAAATGCTTCTGTTATATGCACCAGAAACAAACCACTGTTTGATCTATTAGGTTGGTGCAAAAGTAATTACAGTTAACAGCAAAAACTGCAATTACTATTGCACCAAATTAATATAGCAAAACCCATACATGTAGCAATACTTCTTATAAATTAGGTGTAGCAGCAGCAACACATTCACAAGAATTAATTAAATCATATAATGACAGTATTTTCCTTCTAGTATATAAGCAAATGGCTATACTGAGGAGTATGGGTATTTTTAATGAAAGAAAATTCTGGACCCAAGCACAAATCGTAACACATAGCCTGGCAGACACAAATTGTTTATATATAAATTCACTCAAACATGGCCCCAAATCATAGGTTTGAATCCAGCAGAGATTACAGGGAATTAAAATACAATATAATAAAGACTGCAATAGGAAAATATCTTATTTGTAACCTGCCTCAAAGATTCAGATGAATTCAAAACCTAGGCCATACACGTAGTTAACTGCTCATCGTACTAAAATCCTGACTACTTAAAACCATGCTATAAATAGGGAAAATGTTAAGATTAACACACTCTTTTAAAATCAGTAAGAAACTCAATGAGATAAGGACCTCAATAGGCAATTCCAAAGATAAAGACATGAAAGTCTCTCTAACAGTAATAAAATAATGAAACACAAAATATTATGCCTATCCAATTGGCAAAAAAGAAAAAAGTATAGTACCCAATGAGTTCTGGCAAGGCTGTGAGGAGCAATAAAAGTATCTTAAATTGCTGACAGGAAATCTTGTAACACATAGCAAAAGCCTAAAACGTATTTACTTAGTGATTTTACTCCAAAGTTCAGCTAATAATTGAGTAAGTATGAAAGGAAATGTATGCAAGAATATATGTTACAACAATAACAGGGACAAATGGAAGCCATCTAAATATCCATTATTAAGAATAGTGAAAGAGTTATCTATTTCCACATATGGCAAGAAGTCTGTCACGTATTAGGTGACAAAAGCAGGAGGCATGATATGATCCCAACTGAATATCAGTCATTATCCTTAGATAGTACAATTAAGTGTAGGTGTTTAAAAAAATAAAATCTTGAGTTTTAACATTTACAGTGAATGTTTGTGAAATAAATTTTTAAATGACTTTTTGTATTAAAATGTACTCATTGATTATGTTTAAAAGTGGGAGAATTTGAGTACACTGGACCTTGAAAAATTCGTTTTCTATAATGGCTAAATTTGTGTTTTTTAAAGTTCCACTATTAAAATGTAAAATTTAAACAAGCTACTTTAAAAACAAACATACCAACAAAAATAATCTTTCATCGCTAAAAATTTCACTGCTAAAAATTTACTTAAGCCACAATTTATGGTTTTATCATGTCAAACTTGCATTCATAAATTACATTTTAAAGTATCAAAATGTTTTTACCTTAGCTCCAAATTCCACAAGATTTGCTAAGTTCTGCACAGATTTAGCCACTAATATCAGTGTTCTTGCAGCAATAGGAGATGGAGAATCTGTAACAGAATTGGGCACAGCTAATGACACCAAGTCCAACAGCACTTCCAGCTAAACCATTATAAATTTAGCACTTTAATATTTCTTTACTGTTAAACTACTACCCATTCTTCCATTCGGAACTCAGAATGTTTTTGGAAAAATGTTTTTTGAAAAATTTATGATCCATAAAATTCAAAAGAACTTGAATTAAAAGAGAAAAAGTGAATATGCTTATCAGTGCTTCTAGGCTTGCGAAAAGGGTACTACAAAACTCAGCAGTTTCCAACGGTTGATACTATTTCAAAGGACCTCAAAGCTTTACCTTTATCACTAAAAAAGATTGTCACTCCTCACATCTTTTATGACAGTTCACAAAGCTAATTTCAACCTACTCAGGTTAGCAATCTGAGCAATTCCCTGCTCCCAACATTATTTGCAGTCCAAATAATTCGCTTAAAGCTCAAGAAGCAAGATAAAGTCTAGGACCTCTGCTTTATTTTGAGGAGAAAAACATGAAATTTAATAAACTTTTAAAATATTTTAAAGGTAAGTCAGGAAGCACTTCCCTGTGGAACACAGATAGTAGGATGTAAATGAAAAGTATTGGTGTCTATTAAATATAAGCTCTGGAACTTAATTATTTAACAGTAAAATCCCATAAATAATCTACCTGACTGCCTAGTTTTAGATGGTGTTGTCTGAGGCGAACATCCAGATAAATCTCTCCAAAAGAATTTCAAACCCTTAATATTAATAATTTATAGATTTAACCACTTTAGTAGCAATAAAAGATAATTACAGAGATGTGATGGCTATATAGAAGTAAAAATTAAGACATTCCAAAACATTTTTAGTACAATTTTGAGCTTCAGATTATTAAGGTAAAAATGGTTCCAGTTCCTACTGTTTATAATGGTTCATTATTACATTCAAAGTCACAAATATCCCTGTTATCCTTTCTTTGAAAGAAGCTTTTAACACCTGAAAGTCATCTCAAAATGGATATATGGGTAATAAAACTGGATCAGGTTTACTGAAGTTTAAAATGGCCAATTTACACTATATAACTGGTGACTTTAAAAATCTCTAACGGGAGGAACCAGGACTGCTTTCTTCATAAGTACTCACAGAATACTATTCCAACTGTACATATCATTTAATTTGATCTTGAAGATCTAGCTGGCAGCAGTCTAGCAATGGGCTAAGCAAAGCTCTTCCCAACTTGAAAAAGCCAAGCTGCAGACTACAAGAAGTCACTTATTATAAAGGTTTGAGACACAAATAGGGGTAGAAAAAAGGTGGAATGTGTGTAATCATGCCATCTCAGACCAGATATGAGATGGAAGAAAAGAAACAAAAAGAAAAAAGCCCAAGAAGCACAAGCACAAGGAAGGAAGGGTGCTTTGGAATACTTCATATATGCCATGACTAGAATTGGATGATCAAAAAAAAAAAAAAGATTTAAGAGTATTCTTAAATAGTATGAAACTGTTAATTCTAATATTTTGAATTTCAAAATGTATCAAAAGCTGATTACCTGAGATGATATTGAACATCCGTGGATTCAGGATGGCAGGACAGATGAGTCGAAGAAAAACAAAACCACTGAATGGGAGGGAAATTTTTTTTTTTTTTTTTTAGAAAACACCTATATAATGTGTTACATTAAAACAATATATATAAACAGAATTTTTAGTACTCATAGAACCCATAAAATTCACTCTAAACCAATAAAAGAAAGCCCAGACACAGAAAGCTTTAAGAAAACAGTAAGCCAAAGCATCGTATTTTAAGAATATATATATCTGCTTCTTGAATGTATTACTCACTTTTCCCAATTTAGAATGTGGATTAACTTTGGGAAAATGTTGTTTATCTGTAGTATTTACTGTCTTGCTTACTATTTATTATTCCAGGCTAGTGGTCATTTGATACTTAGAGAAAGTAGTATCCTCAGGAATCTTAAGAATTTCTGAAATACCACAGGAGTAGAAATAAACTTTTTATATAAGCATAGTTCTGTACAATTTTAGAACTTCACACACCCTCATTTCTTAATTTATTTAAACAGAACAGCCTAAGTTGGTTGCATTGATTTTGTTGATGATTCACATAAAAATAAGAATCCATTGCACTAGAGAAAAAGTGACTTATTGATCAATGAAAATGTCTATAATAGAACACTGGAAAGGTTTTCTTTTTTCCTTTTTTCTTTGTTTTCTTTGAGATAGGGTTTTGTTCTGTCACCCAGGCTGGAGTGCAGTGGCCCACAATCACAGCTCACTGCAACCTTGAACCCCTGGGATCAAACAATTCTCTTGCCTCAGGCTTAGAGTAGTTAGGACTACAGGTGCACATCACCATACCTGGCAATTTTTTTTTTTTTTTAATTATTTTTGTAGAAAGCAGAGTCTCGCTACGGTGCCCAGGACAATTTCAAATTCCTGGCCTCAAGCAATCCTCCTGTCTTGGTCTAAACATGTTGAGATTACAGGCTTGAGCCACCATGCCCAGCCTGAAAAACTTTTAAGACAAGACATTAGGAATTCTAAAGTTTTAAAAAGTTGTCAAATTATAAAACAATAGCAAAAGCAAAAATTATACTAACAGCTGTCATATATGATTTTATCTGCTAATTTTACTTTGGGACAATGTCAGTGTTAAAAGCTTGCATAGATACTCCTATTCTGCCTCCTTTAGTCACTGGTAGGGAGGATATGTTGTCATGTAGATAATTTCTAATTTCCTTTTAAGAAGAATCCACACTAATAATTAACCTCTTA